>NC_000001.11:56068986-56220501 GCF_000001405.40 Homo sapiens
ATCTCAACCTAAAGAAGAAGAACTACACAACAGTGGCCAGTTTCAGGACGTAACAAAATGCCTGTCATTGGCACTGAGATATGAAACAGCAGAGGATGCATGAATCAGTGCACTTTAAATAAGAAATTTAGGGGTGAGTAATAGGAGAGAGATCTGGACAGGAAGTCAGGGCCAGATCATTAAAAGCCATACTAAGGCAAATTGGGCACTAGGCAGTGAAGGAATATTTGAATAGATTTAAGTAATTAGTTCATAATTTTTCAATGAATATTTTGTGTAATACCAACTATATGTTAAGTCCTAGGGACAAAACTATAAACAAAACAGGTGTTTCCTGCCTTCACTGGATCCACAGTCCAAGAGAAATGAGTGTCATTTCCATGTAGTGTGAAAAATGCTCTGATGGGGGATGAATGGGGTCTTGGAAGAGTATTAGGAGGAGTAAGGAAGGGACAGATTCCCAAGGGAAGTCATGCCTAAGCCAAGATTTGATGGAGGGTGAGTGTGGGGAAGGAGGTAGTGAAGGAGATTGTTACAGGCAGTGGAAAGAGCAGGAGCAAGGCCAGAGATGAAAGTATGGTGCTTTAGAATAATAGGACTTTGGGAGAGGGCTGGTGGGCTTGATGAGAGATGGAGCTGGAAGGGTAGCAGGGGCTATATCAAGAAGCCAGGGAGTGTTATCAGCAGTTTTTGTTTTAGAAAATCACTGTGAGTGTAGTGACAGCTGGATACGAAAAAACCATGAAAACAAACTTAAGATTCTCCATCTTTGAAAATACCATGAGTATATGGTTCAATAAATTGATGGAACCTCAGGAAGCAAATTTTGTCATTGCTCCCTATCAGTTAGGATGCTTTCAGCTGCACGCAATAGAAACTCAGACTGGCTTAAAGAATAAGGAAATGCAATAGCTCTAGGAGGAGCTCTAGGAACTCAGAAGGCATAGCACAATCAGTGGCTCAATAGTATAATCAAGCATTTTGGCTTTTTCCATCTCTGCATTCAGCCATCCAAAACACTGGCCTCATCCTAAAGCTGGTCCCCCTTGAGAATGTAACATGGATGCCAATATCAATTGGGACTAGATGCTTCTTTGTTGTCATCACTGAGAAAGAGAAGGAAAAGTATTTTCCTCAATAATGGAATATAAGTCTTTTCCTTTATCTTTATTACAGGTCACTACTAAATCACTGACCATGGGGGAAATGTCACTTGTTTATTGGCTTAGATTAATTGAGATTTATCTTTAGAACTAGGAATGGTATCAATCTTTCCTGTGTCTCCTTCCTAACACTACCATGGTTTTCTTCAGGCATCCATGTCCTCCAGGATATAAAGGAAGAAGTTGAGGGATGGATGCAGAGTATACTATTCTCCACCATTACAAATTGGGCACCTTTGCTTTTGAATGAGTGACCACAGCCCTGGAAACTTGTATGCTTTGCTAATTGAGGGCAGATGAGCCTCAGGTCAATCCCCCATCAATTATCCACTCAACAACAATAAAATGCTAACTTGTATGCCCTAACCCAGTTTGTTTAATTATTTGGAAGTGATTTTGTATCTAAACAACCCACACACTGGACATAAGCAATCCTGGATAAAATAGAAGTTTATTAAACTCATCTTCATATTTACATAAATTATTTTTTAAAAAGACACCATCTAGGCCAAGACCAGTTTTATTTTTCCCTTCAAAGAATAATGTTGAGGATCAATTTCTCCAGCTTAACATCACCAGCCTTGGCAGCAGCTCATATTTGGAATATAAATGATGTCATCTGGTTGGCCTTTTCCCATCACAAACAGTAAATCTCTAAATCTGGAGAGATCTTTTATTTGGTTACACATATTGTACAGCATCAAGGGGTTAGAACACATGTGCTAGAGATTATTAAAATCATCTGGAGGAGAATGGCTTATTATTGGAAAGCCCAGAACTTATGACCCTTTCATGCCTGGTGTCTCCATCAACTCTTCTTTCGCTCCTACCTTTTCAAAGAAATAATTGTGGCCGATTGGCCCATGATTATTTGCATACTAAGGTTTTTCTGGTGCACCATGCCTCTTCTCTGGAAAAAGATATCCCTAGCAGAGTATAGAGAAAGGGGAACAGGATTAGGAATCAGAAAGCCAGTCACAGCAACATGCCAAAATATGACTTTGGGTAACACATTTGAACTCTACTAATTTCACTCTCTCATCTATAAAATGAAAATAATAATAACCAGCCTCACAGGAATTTTTTAGATAGATAGTTTTTTAAAAAGTCATTGAATATCTGTTTATCACTGTATAATTTGCTAAAATCTTTCAATTACATTAGCATTAGTCTTACCTAGCACAAGAAAGACACTCAACAGATATTTGTTGAATAGCATGTAAATTGGTGATATTATAGTTTGATGGATTCTGAGTCGTTAAGGTATCTATCACACCTCTGAACTTAGTTTTCTTTATTTATAATGTGTATTCAACTGTATCTCTTTTTAGGGTTGTTGTAAGAGATAAAGAAAATAACATACATGAAGTATCAGTTTCGGGCACTTTGGTGTGTACTTGAGAAAGAGGTTTCCTTTTCTCTGATCGCTTCTTCTTTCAGAGCTTCATTCTTCTCATTCAACAGAATTGGTCATAATTATAACATTCTACTTGTTGAGGAGATAGCTGTGGGGCAAAGAGAACAGGGGGGCCAAGCTTTGGTCCTAATTTTCCATCTTCCCAGTTGTGTGAACTTTGACAATTTGGGGGAGTCTGTTTCCCCATTTGAAAAATAAGGAGCTTGTCTAGATCTGAAGTTCCCAAATTTTTGAAGTTTATAGAGCAAACAAACAAATAAACAAACAACAACAACAACAACAACAAAAGACCAGTACCAACCAGGAGCCTAACATAACATGGTCAATTTTTTGATCTGAGAAATAGATTTTTGAAAAATAACTGTCACTTACCATTACAATCATTTCAAATTAAAGGACAAGGAACTCCAAAAAAGAAAAAAAAGAAAAATTATGAAATATAAGACATGACTCTAAAATGATTACATTAACCTCATGGGGAAAGATGCTGAATCGTCTTATTGTCCTTATTTTTTTCTCATTTTTCCACAGACCTGTGAAAACTTGTTGTGGACCAACATGGGTCTTCAGAGTAGTACTTGGGAACCTGTACTGTTCTGTATTGTGGACCAACATGGGTCTTCAGAGTAGCACTTGGGAACCACTGGGATGCATGACATGGAAGGGCTCTTCTAGCACTATGTCCTGTGATTCTATCATAATTCCACCATGGTGAAAAGCTGGGATACTTAAACAACAGTTTGTTTAGGTGAAATCAGTAAAACAATGATCTGATTCAGCTAAGAAGCTGATCCCTGAAGTCATTTTGCTGAACTGAATGACTCTAGATCTTGATAGGAAGTATAATTTAGTCAAAACAATCTAAATTGTTATGTGTGGATTGACACATATGAGTTGTTCCCGCAGGTCTTCAAAATACTTCCTTGCCCCTAATGAGGCTGACTCAGGCTTTGTTCCCCACCAACTATAAATTGATAAGTATCACACTTGTACCTACCTACATCAAAATGAGAGAGATATGTGAGTGAGCCAAACATATCCAAAGCATTCCTAATTCAGGCACTATGTGCTCACCCTGAGGTTAGCTTCTCTGACACCTTCCACTCTCTAATCTTGAGCCAAAATATGTCTCTACACTCTACTGTGGTGATCTCAAAGTCCCTGTATGAATGCCTCATATTTTATCACCAAAATTCTAAATAGAGACTCTCTGTTTCATGGTTAGCACTCATTTCTACCAAGCTTGATCATCTGAGGTGGACCAAATTAGAAATAGGCAAGCAAAATAGAGGTAGGAGAAGCTATTAATACAGGTCAGGAAGAGATTAGTTTTGGCTGGGTGCTGTGGCTCACAGCTGTAATCCTAGCATTTTGGGAAGCTGAGGTGGGCGGATCACTTGAGGTCAGGAGTTTGAGACCAGCCTGGCCAACATGGTGAATTTCCATCTCAACTAAAAATAGAAAAATCAGCTGGGCATAGTGGAAGGCACCTGTAATCTCAGCTACTTGGCAGGCTGAGGCAGGAGAATCACTTGAACCCAGGAGGCAGAAGTTGCAGTGAGCTGAGATTGCACCACTGCACTCCATCCTGGGCAACAGAGTGAGACTCCATCTCAAAAATAAATAAATAAACAAATATAGACAGGTCAGGAGTTGTGGGTTGTGGCTTTGCTTGACTTCACAGAAGAAAGAGAGAAAAATCAAACAGAACTAACTGTAAGCTACTGAGGACAATAATAGATGTTCATATCTTTGGTTCTAAGTCATCAAGAAAAGTTTAAACTATGTACAAGAACCTTCTCAAGGAAGCAGATAATTCATTGAGATAGATGCTTGGGGGTGAGGGCAAACCTCAGCTATCAGGAAATTCATCTCAAGTTAGCAAACGTGAATTCTCCTGTGATCCTAGGGTAATGAAGTAGTAACAGCAATAGAAACAACCATAATAATGGCTGGCTACTGCATTGTACTCTGCCTCTTAGGAGTACTTCCATTTTCTCATTTAATATTCAGATCAACCCCATGAGGAACAAATAATAATTTTTATTATCCACTCATTTCTCCAAGTGAGGAAATCAAAGCTCAGCTTGGTTAAGTAGCTTGCCAAGACAGCAGAGCTAGTCAGTGGCAGAGTAAGAATGCAAACCCTAGTCTTCTAACTTGAAGCCCAGTGCATTTCCCACCCTCTGATCTTCTCTCATCCTTATAAATAGCCATAAGACTAAGTAGTTCAAAAATATCTTCTTTCTGGTTCTCAGGCCCATTACAAATGCCACTTGCCCTGGGTAGGAAAATAAAGCCCAAGCTCTTTGCTGGACTATGTGCTAAGTCCTTGGCGCCCAGAAATAACCTCCTGGAGACTATGGGCCTTATATTTACCGCAAAGCAGTGGGTAAATAACTAGTTGGTGTTTTAGTGTTTTGTGGTCACTTAATCTGTTGTGTTGCTTCCCAAGACTCTGAAGGTTTCCTTTTTCAGTTAATTCTTATTTACGTTTCTGAGGTCTGTGTTGTTTTGGGTTTGGTTCATTGGATGTTTTTCTTGGAATGTGTTGCCATTGGCTTCAGGATGTTCCTGCTCTGCTATTTCATGGAATTTTCCCCGAGTGTGGATTGCTATGTATTTCTTCGGGGCAGTGAGCCAAGGCAGTGCTGGTATGTAATCTGTTCCTCTGGCCAGAAGACTTCTTGTCACCCATCCACATGGTGCTTGGTTGTATTTCTCCACTGATAATTCCCCTCCATCTGTTAATGTGCAGGAACCTTGGACTTCAGCCATCTTGTGTGTTGTGCGTTATTGGCTCTGGATAAGACAAGGCCAGTTGCTTCTGATAGAGATTGTGTCAACTGATTCTACCAGTTTGTTCTATCAGCCCAGGGTTGGGGAAGGAGATAGATGCCAAGTGTCATAGAAAGAGTGGAGAAGGCTCACAGGGTTAATGCTATAGACAAAGCAAGAATTTGTGATTGAAAACGTCCAGCCCTTCACACAGCCCTATGCCCCAGTAGGAGAAGAGCCAGGAATGCCAGGTGCATTGAAAACACCACACTCTCCCATGGCTCTCAGCGAGCCTTTCTTCCTTTGTCTTTGACAATCCAATACAAAGTATGTGCCAAAGAAAAATAAGAATTTGTTCCATATCAGAAAGTTTCGTTCTTTGGATATTTTCTTTGTGGGTAAAAATAAAATATTAGAAAGGTCAAATAGTGTTTGTTCAATAAAATGGTATGCTTCCCAAGGCTTTCAGCCTAATTAAGATACAAAGCACACATTGAGGCAGAAAGTTGCCCTCGATAAATTCTTTGTTTGGCTATTTTATTTATCGTACTTCATTCCATTGTTTTGTGTGTTGTATATCTTACTCTTTCCATAAGGAATTTGTGATAGCTTACAAAAATGTGTCAATAAAAAATAAAATATCTTTAAATCACTGGAAGCATCAAGGTGAATGGATAATATTAAAGATATGAATAAGATTAGGGTTAGTATTTCATAACAGATAACCCTGTAAAATTGTTAAAAGCGATTCATCAAATTGACTAAAAAAATCCTACCGTTTATCACTTGAAGTGTGCTGTGGCTCTCTAATCTATAGGTAGTCTAAATTGGGTGCATTTAAGAATCTGCACAGTTTGATTTTAATTTGGAGGTGAAAGAGGCCAACTCTAATCCCCACATTGACTTCACATGCACTGGCGCACATCTGAAGGTCAACAGTTTTCATATTTGCAAAGAGACAAGAGGAGAACTAATACTTACTAGGTACCTAATACATATTAGGCATTGTACCAATAATTTGACATTTAATAATTCATTGATATTCTCAACCACTCTATGAGATAATAATTACCTCCATTGGACAGATAACATAAGCAAAGCTGAGTAACTTGGGCAAGTGTACTCAACTAGTAGGGACAAAACTAAGATCAACACAGGTATATTTGACCTCAAAGTCAACGTTCTTCTCATACTGTGCCTGACAGACAGGTAAGAGGGTATGGAATATGCTTCCCCCAGTTGATGAGTGTCGAAACTCTCAAACAAACGTGGTTTATTCTGAGCTTGCCCTCAAGCTGTAGGTTGACCAGGAAATAAGTATAAGTTCAAAGCAGATCACAGTGTTTGGAAGTTAAGGTCAACAGAAAGACATATCTGTGGTTATGACACTATACACTGCCATACAAATGTCCTCCAACCATTCCAGAGAGAACATAGGTAAGTTCCTCCAAATTGAAGACATTCATAAAAATAAAAGAATAAGAAGCTATAGTTGTATATGGAATGAGCAGTCATATTAATCAGACAGAGAATGGCTATGGTGTTTGTTGTACCTTCCAGTCAGAGCAAACCAGTAACATTAGAAATCTTTGTGGTCTCCAAAATTCTTGCATCTCTGACCCTTCTCAAGTGTCATCCTCTCTATTTTTCCCCATTTTCCCTTCCTGGCAAACTCCTACTTATTCCACAATTTCTCAAATGCCACTTCTGCAACGACTTTTCTCTGTCTCTCATATGACCTTAAAGAGCTCTCTTTTCTGTGCAGTTACTAAAGTTAGGTACATCCACATCATACAAATTCATTACTATAATTTTGTATGCTTCCCCCAGTTCCTATTGGATAGTGAACAAATATATGACAAAATATATATTTTCATCTTCTAATTTCTAGTTAGATTATTTAATTTTTAAAACAACTTTTGAAAGTAGCAATTTTTACTATTCTCATTTTACAGATGAGGAAAATGAGATATAAAAGTATAGAGTAACTTGTTCAGTTATAAAGCAAGTACATGGCAGACTTATACCCAAGCAGGGTGGTTCCAGAATCCTTACTATATAAATATCCTCATCAGACCTGTCTGAACCCCAGTCTTCTATTTCTTACTCTTCTTCCAGAGAAGGTTCTTCTAATCCTCTTCTCCCAACATCCCCACCTCTTCTCTCATCACAACTTGATTTCTTCCTCCCA
The DNA here is from genome assembly GCF_000001405.40 of Homo sapiens. Taxonomy (NCBI): domain Eukaryota; kingdom Metazoa; phylum Chordata; class Mammalia; order Primates; family Hominidae; genus Homo; species Homo sapiens. The sequence goes on from NC_000001.11 coordinate 56,076,536, forward strand.
CAAAGTATGTTGACTCCCACCTAATTATGGAGACTAATACGGAGTTAGCTGGAGCCCTATCCTGGCTCCAGGGTCCAAGTGCTCCTCTTACAACCCTCAGGCTACTCAGTATACAAAGGACTCTCCAGCTATGAGGGCCCACCCATCATGGGAGGGAGTGGGGGTTTATAAATAAAAATTATAATATTAATAAAACATCTGCTTCAGGTTGAGCTCAAAAGAAACCAGACTCTGAATTGAAGATTAACATATAGGACTTTACTGGGGAGCTCTTGCATACTTAATTGGGATGATACTTGTGGAAAGGGAAGAGAAAAATGCAGGGTGGGCAGAGTGAGAAGCTGAGCTGTGATATATAGCTCCAACAAAGGCCTCAGCTTACCCCATGGGGAGTTCTGGTGTTGGTATGGTCTTTCAGAATTATACCAATTTGGGATACAGTGGCCAGGCCATAGATCAGTCATAGGAGGCAGGTTGACTCTCAAGAGGAGGTGTGACCTTGACTAAGGAGGGCTGAAACTGAGGGCTGTCTTCAGCATCCCTTCCTGCAGCTGGGGAAGTTAAGTCCTCCATTCCTGAAAGGAGACAGGGGTTCCATGTGGCCATAACAGCATCTATCCAACATCCCATCCTTTAAACACCCAGCATCCTAATATTCTAAGCACTTTAGCAAGGCAATTAAAGCAATTAAGGCTTAGCAACGTAAAGTAACTTGGCAGAGGTTACATAGACAGTAGCAACTGAGTTGGTACTGGAACTCAAGCCTGGCTGATTGCAAAGCCTATGTTCCTTCTCCACATCAACTTATCTCCCTCTGGCACATTATAAATTGTATGACAGCATGTATGTGGTAATCTTTTGAAGACCAGAAATACACACTCATAGAACTGATCTCTTTCCAGAACTGCACTCTTCCATCATCCCCCAAACAAGCAATTCCCTCTGAGCCCACACACCCTCTTGCTCTCATTTTCCACATGTTTACTTGGATGTAGTCGCCAATTACATACTAGGCAGATGTCATCTGGAAAAGAAGCCACAGTCATTGTCAAAGAAAAGTTAAAACTGCTCTCAAATTGGACTTGATGTCTAGTCTGGTCTACAGTTGAGGCTACTTTGCCTTTAAAAAAATATTAGCAATCTTTCCCAGAATGTGGTTCATGAATCCTTTGGGTAAAACTATAGGTACCTTAGCAGGAATCGAGGCAGTGACAATAAACTTTATTAGTAGTTATTGTATTATTTAACACATGCACTCACAGTTAAAAAACAGAAATAAAAACAAAAGTCAATTTCACTTAAAAATGTCCTTACTAAGCATTAAAAAAAATAATTTTATTACTTGAAAGAGCAACTGACAAACTATGGTTATTCATATGGTATATGTCATAAGTTTTCTCAAAAATGAATGAAAAGACCCTGCCCCTTGAAGGAAAACAACTCATGGCATTCTCTGCCAATGATTAAATTCACATTTTCAAGCAAAAACTAAAATTTTGGAAAACTTGTATCTGCCTTCAGGAGCTTGACATCATACTAATACTTACAGATTTTCTGATGATGTAGACTTCTGGTGAAGCTAAGAAGTGTGATTTTTTGTTATTGTACAAAGAAATGAGTCAACATTTTGAAGATCTGCATAACTCAGTGAACTGATATTTTTCCATATAGCCAGTGCAGAATGTTACAAAACTAGGTGTAGGCAAAAATAATCCATTCAAATTAAAAGATACACCAAGTGGATTTCAATGTAGTAGAATACAAAAAGCGCATTGATGTGGCTTTATATTTCACATTGCAAGTAATCTTTTTTTTTTTTTTTTGAGATGGAGTCTTGCTCTGTCACTCAGGTTGGAGTGCAGTGGTGCAATCTCAGCTCACTGCAAGCTCCGCCTCCCGGGTTCACACCATTCTTATGCCTCAGCCTCCCAAGTAGCTGGGACTACAGGCACCCGCCACCATGCCCAGCTAATTTTTTATATTTTTAGTAGAGACGGGGTTTCACTGTGTTAGCCAGGATGGTCTCAATCTCCTGACCTCGTGATCTGCCTGCCTCGGCCTCCCAAAGTACTGGGATTACAGGCGTGAGCCACTGCACCCGGCCACATTGCAAGTAATCTTTAAGGAATTACCACTTGCCAAGTTTTGGTGTAGTATCAAAGAATACCAATAATTATCTAAAAAGGTTTTAAAAATATTAATTTTATACCCAACTATATATTTGTGTGAGGCTGGATTTTTCCATAGACTTCAGACAATATATTGCACAGATTCTGGCTGCAAAAGTAGATATGAGAATCTAGCTGTCTTCTATTAAGTCAGACATTAAAGAAATTTGCAAAAATATAAAACAATGCTACACTGTTCACTGTTTTTAAAGAAAATATAGTTATCATAAAAATGTTATTTTGTAAGTGTGTAATGATGTATTGTTATATTAAAATAAATTAATATTTAAAAATAATGTTTCAGTTTTAATTTCTAATGTAAATAGATATTACCTACATAAACAAAATTGCTTTTAATTCTGTTATCACTAGAGAGAGCGTACATAAACAAAAGCACTTTGGGTTGCTCAATAATTTTCAAGAGTGTAAGGGGTTCTTGAGACCCAAAAAAAATTGAAAACCACTAGTCTAGGATCGCTCAGTCAACATCGAGTAGAGGTAGGATTTTTTTCCAAGTGAATTATTTAAAATACTGAATGGATAAGTGGAATAAACACTTTTTAAAATAATTTAATGGAAAAAGAATGAAGTATTTGAGTATGTGGGAAGAGTCCAAGAGCATATTGGCTAAGGCTGACTGCATGAAGATAATGAATCTTGAATATGAAAATATGAGGACTACAAGATGCCTTAAGGGAGGAAGAATATGACTTATTCAGTATGTACCAATGACAGGCACATGGTACCTGCCTATGATTCTCACAATGGTTAGAAGAGCCAGATACTGTCATTCCCTTTTCTCACAGAAAGCATTGAGGCTCAGGGAAGTTCCATGACAAAGAGTGCATGTGGCATAGCTGGGAGCTGATCCCTGAGAGATCTGATTCCATATTGTTCCTGTCTGTTCCCCCACACTATGCTACTTCCCATCTGGTCCCCAACCCCTCCTCACTCCTTATTTTAAGAAGGAGGAAGTGAAATTTAGAGAGGAAAAATAACATATGGAAGCCACAGAAGGAATTAGTGGCAGAATCAGACCCTGAAAGTATCTTCTGGGGCTCCCCAGACGGTGCTTTTTCCGTTGCCCCATGCAGTGTCAGGCCACGTCCCCTTGGAGTAGAAGAGATCTTTCAGGGTGGGCTACATGGTCCCTGACACTGAAAACTGAGGGTCCCAAGACAAATTTAAGGAGAATTCTTTTCTGTGAAAGGAAGTTTGAACATCCATACAGTAAGGCGGATGATTCTTCCACAGCAACTGAAAGAAAAAAAATACAAGAGAAAGGCCGAAGTAAAGTTTTTAGTCATGGTGAAGCACTCTTGCTCTTTCTCTGACTGTAATTCCATTAAACAAACGTTTATGAAGCACCTTCCGTAGGTTGGATATTGTGTTAGCTGGAACATCACGCTGGCTGTTGAAGCTTCAGGGAGGAATCACAGATATTTCCAATGCTGGAGAGTCTCACAGTATTGTGGGAGACACCAAAGGAAGCAGAATTCCAATGTGGAATGCGTCATCAAAGCTCAGATAGGAAAAGCCCAAGGTGGTATGGAAATCTAGAAGATAAATCTAACCCATTCTGGGCCTGATAATATGGCATCTGAGACCAGTCTCAAATGACTCATTAGAATTAACTAGTAGAGGAAGGAGAGAAGGCAGAAGGAACAGTATGTGTCACACACCCAGGGTGTGACTTCCTGAAGAACTGAAAAATATTCCCGTATGACCGGAGGCAGAACGTGAGTTATAGCTTATAATGCCTTGCGAGTTGGCAACTGCCCCTCCCACTCTTGGATTCTATAGTTGGTCTTATTGAAATATCTTAAGTTCAGGTTTTAAATATTTTTTAAAACCCCATGAATTTATCATTGCTATCTTCTTGTACCTCTACAAGTCTGGAGAGCCCTGGCTGGGGATCAGTGGACCAGAGACTATAATTTTCTGAGTTTGCCCTAGGGAGCTATTACCACCGATATTTCTGCACATCATCTCACCCAGTGCCTGGCCCACAGTAGGTGCCCTATAAATGTTTAATGAAGCAGTAAATGGTGTTTCTCCTCTACTTCTGCTTGTTTCTTTTTTCTATTATCTTTCTTCCAGCTGCTGTAGAGGAAGAATCAGCACCCCACTCTGCATGCTCAAACTTCCTTCCTTCAGATAGATTTTTCTCTCTCTTTGTCTTAGGATCCTCAGTTCTCAGGCCTGGGGATGGGATATAACCCACCTGCAAATTTGCTCCCACTCGGTGGGGAGGGGTCTCAGTCCTTGACAGCTGATGGAAACCTTGGTACATCACATTTTTTACATCTATACCCAACTTACCAACAATTCCTTGAGGACAGGGAATCTCTGAATTTTTCATCTCTGAATTTCTACTATAGACCAAAGAAGAGTTTATTTAATGAGGAAGAAAGGAAGGAAAAGAAGTAAAGTTTTAGCCATAATGAAGTCCTCCTGCTTTTTCTCTGCTGTAACTGCTACCCAGATACTCTGCTAAAACTGCAATGACATCTTTTCTTTCCCACATGGACAAGTTTGTCATGACTCTTGTGTTTATATTTCCCAACCCACTCTGATTCAGAGGAAAAAAATAAAGAGGACTCCATAGGAAAGCGCAAAGCCCAAACAGCAGAAGGCCGGGTGTGGGGAAGATGCTGAGTGTGGGAGTCAGCTTCCAGCCGCAAGCAGATGCTGGATCCTTCTCTCCAGTTCTTCCTTGATTTCGTTTCCTCCCCACTGCAGCCAAGATACATCCTGAGCTGTGACAGCTGATGGAAACCGGGCAGAGGAACCCATGGAAAAGTCTGCAGAGGCAGGATGAGTCTTGAGCCAGGTCTTTCCAAAACCCAAAATGAAGGTGACTGTGAGGGACTTTCAGCTGCCGCTAAGATGATAAAGTTACCACCATTTCCTCCAGTGTCTGGTTAAGTCTTCTCTGAAATTTTGCTTCATCAATCATCTCCTCTTTGAGCTCTAACCTTTCCTTTTCTTCTGCAGCATATAAACCTAATTGAATCTCTTTCAGCCAAAAGGAATGTCTTTTAAAAAAATACTATCACCAACGACAAAAAATGAAAAATTAAATGTGTTTCTGAATCTCCATTTATCTTTTATCAAATTTCTTTTCTTTCCCATCCAATTTTTTTAAAGAGTTGTTTACAGTCTCTGGCTCTATTTCCTTATTCCTCATTGACTTTTCCATTCCCTCTGCCTCTTCTTCCTCTCTCCAAATCATCAATTCCATTTTGCACATTTCTGTCTTTAGCTTATTTGACATCTTGGCAACATTCGATCCTCTTGGCCATTCCTTCTTTTCCATTGTCATACTTAGACTTTTCAGAACTATTCTCTGCTAATTTTTTCTCTCTCTGGCCAATCTTTCTCAGAGCTTCTCACTGCTTCCCTTGCTCTCCCCTGTAATATTGATGTTTCTTATATTTATATTTTTCTTGGTCCAGTTTATTTCTTCTCTCTCCTCATTTAAGAAACATTTTTGAGTACTTTCTATATACCAATCATTGTTCTAGGTAACTGAGGATTAGCATATAAATTCACAGTCCTTTGGAGATTGGAGTATAGAGGGGAGCACAGGATTTCCCGTTTAACCACTGTTACTAGAAAATTTAATCTTTATCCATCACTTCACCTGCCATCAATATGCTCCTAAATTTATAATCTAGGTTTCAATTCTGAATTTAAGCCTGTGTTCCAGACTCATACTGCCACCCACCTACCTTGTACGTTATTTCCATTACATTTAGGAACTGGATCAATTTTGTTTATTTAAATTAAATTAATTTCTTTCAGGAAACCTATTCCTTTTATTTCCCATCTCTGTTAATGGCATCATCACACAACCAGCCATTTAAACCCTAAACTTTGTAGACATTTAAGAGTCTGCTGTTTTCCCCCCATTCTTCAACCAAATCAATTTCCAAGCCATAGGGATATCACCTCCTAAACATTTCTTGCTTCTATACCTCCCCTTTGCAACAAATTTGTGAAAACCTACTCAGGTCACCATCATTGCTTCCTTCCCTTTTTAATAAGCACCTATTAGCCCTATATCAATTTATCCCTATACAGAATGAACTTTCTAACATAAAATAATTGATCATGTTGCTGACCTGCTTAAAACCCTCCAATTGTTCCTTGCTGCCCAAGTAAAGGCAAAACTATTACCAGCTAGCAATGTCCTCCATGTTCTAGACATTCCATGATCAGGGCCTTGCTAACATTTTAGCCATATTTCCCCAACCCCTTCCTGCAGAACCATATAACCCAATGCTACAATCAAACTGTGATTTTTAGAGTTATTCAATAGAGGTGTCTCATCCTTATGTCTCAGTGACATTGCAAAAACTCTTCCCTCTTCCTGAGACACCATACCTTTTCTTTCTTCTTTTAGACTGCTCTGTTATTCTTCATTATTCAGCTCTTTGGCTAAAGTCTTTTCTTACTCCATCAAGCATAAGTAATTTATTTCTTATAACATTTTGCATTTATTTAATTTGCAGCAACAATCATATTTTTAGAAACTATTTGCTTTGATTTTTAAGCTCATAAAAGTTATAAATTATACAGTTTTTCTGTTTTATTCTCTGCTCTGCACATGGCACATATCATTGATGCTACAAAAATGTGTTTATATAATAAGCCCTGGAAACCAAACTCTTTCTTATGGATTCATTTTAATTTGCTAGGATTTTAATTTCACAGTGTCATTTTTATTTTGTCATCTGGCGGGCAATATTCTTCAAGTGTATATCATCAATGGATACAAAATGTTTTCACTAAAATTGAACCTGTCACTGGTGAGTGCCCAACCTGATAACGGAAGAGGTCATTGCTGAGCTCCTAATGTGGCATTATTTCTGGGGGATCGGCTGGTCATCTAGTAGCAGGTTGATTATCTTGAACCCATCTCATCATGATGGGGGCACTATTTATTCTGATAGGGATAAACATATATTCCAGGTAAAGATTTTCCTTCTCTGCCTGCATACTTATAACAGCTCTACTTTTTGTGGTCTTACAGAATAACTTATGTATTGTTATAATGTCCAGTATAATTTTGCTTCCAACTAATGAAAATATTTCATAACAAAGAAAGCGAGACAGTGGGTTCCCACTCATAGAATTCACTAGCATTACCATGTGCCCCATTGCTCAGATATAGCTGGCTTGACAAAATGATAGAATGGCCTAATAAAGGCTCTCTTTTGGCACCAGGTAGAAGACAACATCCTATAGAAAAAGTTTTGCTTGCCAAATCACCACCCTGGGCTCAGAAAGCTTGGGTTCCTACTGCTCCGAGGAAGAAATACTTCCACCAGAGAAAAAGTTCTATTTCTGTTGAATGAAAAGCTGAGACTACCTCTCCCCCATATGTTAAGTCTTCTTGAGCTGCTGAACCAACAGAGAAGAGTGTCACTGTTCCAGCAGAAGTATTCAATCCCAATTACCAGATGTAAATTGGGGTGCTACTACTACATTACAGTGGTGAATAAGGCTGTGTCTGGAGTTCAGGGGGCCCTTTGGGGTACTTCTTGCTCTCCTTTGAATAGTCCTATTCAATGGAAAACTATACATCACTCAAAACAGGATCTTCAATGACTTAGATATCATAAGAGTAATGATTTGGATTACTTCCATAAATAAAAAATGTCATCCAGCTGTAGGCCCTGGCCTAGGGTGGCTTTTGTAGAGCTAAGGACCGACAGTGGCTATTCTTGGCTGGCTCAAAGGACACAGGCAAACAGCTGACCACAGGGTTAGGTTACAAGATAGCAAAAAGAAGAGAGTGTTATTCTCTCAAGTTGCTAAGGACATTTCCAATATGATAATTTTTCTCCATATAGTAACAAAGAGAACTTAATCATCTGTGAACTAGACCAAGAGGGGGAAATGGGTATTAACTTGAAAGAAAAATATGTCAAGAAGCAAACCCTTTTTCTCAACCCCTCCACAAACTTTCTGTGGTCTTCTCCATTCTATAACAATGTCCTAGTGCACTCTATTGTTTAAGTTACAAATTCAGGGACGTCTTTTGCCTTTTCCTGTCCTCACCTAAAGTTGAGGGAGCCTGGCATACTGCAACAATCCAGACCGACAGACTTGGGTTCAAATTGCAGCTCCAATACTTTAGAGGGCTGTGACCTTGGACAACATATGTTCCATTTCTTACTCTCAATTTCTTCATCTGTAAAATGGAAATAATGATACCTAATAAGTCTTAATTAGGGACAATATGAAACAACTAATATATTGAACTGGCATGACTTGTAGAACAATTAAACACAACTTTATTTCCCATCATCCCTTTAAAATGTTTTAAGTGGATGTGATCTTCTCATTCTCCTTGATGAAAGAAAAAGTGCACATCCCACAAGTTTTTATTTTTTTCTTTTTGTCTTAGGTGATAGATAGTCCCAAAGTTCTGTAAGAAACAGAACCTGATTCCTTAGAGACATCAAACAAGGGGAAAAAACAAAAATAATTAGGCCTGGGGAAAAATAAAAAATATATAACTATCATATTTGAAAATTATGTAAGTATTGATAGGAAGCCTAAAATAATCTATCGACCATTTTTTAGAAATAATAAGATGTTTTTAAAATGTGGCTGACCGTAGTGGCTCATGCCTGTAATCCCAGAACTTCGGGAGGCCGAGGCAGGCAGATCCCCTGAGGTCAGGAGTTTGAGACCAGCCTGGCCAACATGGCAAAACCCCTGTCTCTACTAAAAATACAAAAATTAGCCAGGCGTGGTGGTGAGTGTCTGTAATCCCAACTACTCAGGAAGGTAAGGCAGGAGAATCTTGTGGAGGTTGCAGTGAGCCAAGATCACAGCACTGCACTCCAGCCTTGGTTGATGACAGAGCAAGACTCCATAGCAAAAAATAATAAATAAATAAATAAATAATTTTAAAAGGTGGCTGCTTATAAGATCAACATATAAAAGTTAATTCTTATAAACCTCCAGAATACATAAAGCACTCATATGAAACAATAAGGTAAGGCCAAATATCTATAAAATATAACTTACATGAAGACTTAAATTAATGAAGAGCTATACCATATTCATAGAAAGACTATTATAAATACGTTAACTCTCTCCATATTGATCTATAAATTTAATACATTTCCAATTAAAGTTCCATTATAATGTTCTGAGAAAACTGACTCCCTAATTCTAAACTATATATGGAAGAGTGAAGGTCAAATAATAACTAAGATGCTTTCAAAGTGGGAGAATATCCTCTATTAGTTATCAAAACTCATTATAAAGTTTATTAATTAAGACAGTCTGGTATTGATGCAGGCACAGATGAATCAACCATAGGATTACAATAGAGAATTCTAAAAAAGACCTCCACATATAGGAAAAATTGTTATCTCACTGAGAAGCCCCACAGATTATTTGAGAAAAGAGGATTTATTTATTAAATGGTTCTATGCCAATTGGATATCCAAAAAACGAATATGTATATATTTATATATATATATCAGAAAAACTTTAAGATGTATAGATTTTACAGAAAAATATATGAGAATGGGGTTAAAATGACTTATTAAGACACGCAAAAATGATAATATAAAACGAAAAAGTGATACCTTCAACTGTATTGAATTTGAAGACTTTTATTCATAAAGAAACCATAAAGACAGTGAAAAAATAAGCCAAAAACTAGAAGAAGGTATTTGTAACACTTTTAAGTGACAAAGGATTGTGTACAGTATGTAAAAGTAACTATTACAAATTAATAAGAAAAGTCAAATTACTCAAGAAAAATGGAAAATATGAATTGGCATTTCACAAAAAAATTACACACATATGGCAATTAAATATTTGAAAAGATGTTCAACATAGTAGTCTAGGAAATGAAAATTGGGATATGATTTTTATTCACCATATTAACAGAAAAATCATTTAAAAAATCATTAACAAAAAAATCATAATTAATTTTTATTCACCATATTAACAAAAAAAACAAATGACATTTGTTGTTGAGGATGTGAAGGGAATGTAAATAAGTACAATAATTAGTTGGCATTGTTTTATAAAATTAAATATTTACATACCCTATGACACAGAAGTTCCATTCCTGAAGATTTTTCTCCAGAGAAATGATACAAATGTGTATCAAGAGACATGCAAAAGAATTTTACAGCAACATTGCTTGTAATAGCAAAATAAATAAATAGGTAAAATTCCATTATGGTGTTCTGAGAAAACTGACTCCATAATTCTAAAACGTATTTGAAAGAACAATGGTCAAATAATAACTAAGATGCTTTCAAAGTGGGAGGATAATGGAATACTATGCAGTCATAAAAAGAAACAAGATCATGTCTTTTGCAGGGACATGGATGAATTTGGAATCCAGTATCCTCAGCAAACTAATGCAGGAACATAAAACCAAACAGTGCATGTTCTCACTTACAAGTGGGAGCCAGATGATGAGAACACATGAACACATGGGGGGAAACGACACACACTGGGGGCTGTCAGGGGTTGGGGAGGGAGAACATAGGAAGAATAGCTAATGGATGCTGGGCTTAATACCTAAGTGATGGGATGATCTGTGCAGAAAACCACCATGACACACATTTACCTATGTAACGAACATGCACAACTTGGACATGTACCCCTAAACTTAAAAGTTGAAGGACAAAGAAAAACAACAAAGTGGGAGTATATTCTCTATTTGTTATCATGACTAACATGATATTAATAACACATTATTATTATATAGGAAAATGATATTTGAATCATGGCATAGTTACACATTTAAATATTATAGAACAATAACTATAGCTACAGATTACTGCATAGATGTATCTTTTTTTTTTTTTTGAGACAGAGTTTCATTCTTGTTGCCCAGGCTGGAGTATAATGGTGTGATCTCGGCTCACTGTAACCTCTGCCTCCCAGGTTCAAGCGATTCTCCTGCCTCAGCCTCCTGAGTAGCTGGGATTACAGGCATGCACCACCACGCCTGGCTAATTTTGTATTTTAGTAGAGACAGGGTTTCTCCATGTTGGTCACGTTGGTCTCAAACTCCCAACCTCAGGTAATCCACCCGCCTTGGCCTCCCAAAGTGCTGTGATTACAGGCGTGAGCCACTGCACCCGGCCAGATGAATCTTAGTTGTAAAGTGAGTTTCCAATTATTATATTCAGTATTATAACAAAACTAATTTTGAAATATATAGTTTGAAGAATAAATACATGTGATAAAACTATGGGAAAAATGATAAATATAAAAATCAAAAGGGAGGTTGCCTATGAAAAGAAGACATGATAATAAGGAGAAGTGAAGAACACAGAAGTAGCTAGAGTATTAATAACATCTTACTTTTTACGTTTGGTAATTAGTTCTTAGGTGTTCATTTTATTATTTTACTTCATAGCTAGATTACAAATATCCTTATGTTCCACAGGTTATTGAGGCTCTTTTCATATTTTTGCAATCTTCTTTCCTCCCTGTAGTTATGACTGAATAATTTCTATTGACCTGCCTTCAAATTCAGTGACTCTTTCCTCTGTTCACTTCATTTTGCTAGGGAGACCATACAGTGAGTTATTTACTTCAGTTCTTAAATCTTTCAGTTCTAACATTTCAATTTGAATCTTTTTTTATAATTTTCTATTTCTCTCCTGAAAGCTTCCATCTTTTCATTTATTTCAACAGTATTCATCTTTACCTTCTAGAGAATGGTTGTAATAACTGCTTTAAAGTCTAGGTGTGATAATTCCAACATCTAGGTTATCTCAGGGTTGATACCTATTGATTTTATTTTCCCCTAAGGGGTAGGTATATTTTCCTGGTCCTTTGTATATAAAGTAATTTTGGATTACACCCTGAACATTTTGAATATTTTGTTGTAAGATCCTATATTTTCTAACAAATGTTGACTTGTTATTGTTGCCTTAGCAATTAAATCAGTTAGGTTCAGATCACACATTTTATCCCACTTGCTGTGGATTAGTTCCAACATAAGTTCAGTTTTCAGACTTTGTTTTACTTTATTTAGGTTTGTTCCATACACATCCATTTTGAGGGTAAGTTAGGGACTGTGTTAGTTCATACACAGACTTAGGGTTCCCTTCCAAGAACTCTTCCTCCAAGATTCCATCATACTTTTTGGTTCTCATGGGAACTAGAGAACTCCTTTTCTGAGTTCTTTGGCTAGAAATTCAGGATTCCTTTCAGTATTTTATCCCCCTATGTTGACAAACAATTATGTAATAACGGGCCAGTTATGGTGGCTCACACGTGTAATCCCACCACTTTAGGAGGTTGAGACAAGTGGATTGCCTGAGCTTAGGAGTTCAAGACTAGCCAGCACAACATGGCAAAACCCTGTCTCTACTAAAAATACAACAATTAGTTGGGCATGGTAGTGCTGCCTGTAATCCCAGGTACTCAGGAGGCTGAAGTGGGAGGATTGCTTGACCCTGGGAGGCAGAGGTTGCAGTGAGCTGAGCTTGTGCCACTGTACTCCAGCCTGGGCAATAGAGTGAGATCCTGTCCCCAAAAAAAAAAAAATTCAATACAAATGTGTCTACCATTGGGGCAAAGTACACTGAGAAAAGAAAGGGGATGGGCCAGGGACGGTGGCTCATGCCTTTAATCCCAGCACTTTGGGAGGCCATGGTGGGTGGATCGCCTGAGGTCAGGAGTTCAAGACCAGCCTGGCCAACATGGTGAAACCCCATCTCTGTAGAAATACAAAAATTAGCTGGGCATGCTGGTGGGCACCTGCAGTCTCAGCTACTTGGGAGGCTGAGGCAGGAGAATCACTTGAACCTGTGAAGCGGAGGTTGCTGTGAGCAGAGATCATGCTATTGCACTCCAACCTGGGTGACAGAGTGAGACTCTGTCTCAAAAAAAAAAAAAAAAAAAAACAGATACAAGAAAAAAAAGAGAGGGGAGGAGCCAAGATGGCCAAATAGGAACAGCTCCGGTCTACAGCTCCCAGCCTGAGCAACGCAGAAGACGGGTGATTTCTGCATTTCCATCTGAGGTACCAGGTTCATCTCACTAGGGAGTGCCAGGCAGTGGGCGCAGGTCAGTGGGTGCGCGCACCGTGCGCGAGCCGAAGCAGGCGAGGCATTGCCTCACTTGGGAAGTGCAAGGGGTCAGGGAGTTGCCTTTCCTAATCAAAGAAAGGGGTGACGGACGGCACCTGGAAAATCAGGAAAATCGGGTCACTCCCACCCGAATACTGCGCTTTTCCGACGGGCTTAAAAAACGGCGCACCACGAGATTATATCCCCGACCTGGCTTGGAGGGTCCTACCCCACGGAGTCTCGCTGATTGCTAGCACAGCAGTCTGAGATCAAATTGCAAGGCGGCAGAGAGGCTGGGGGAGGGGCGCCCACCATTGCCCAGGCTTGCTTAGGTAAACAAAGCAGCCGGGAAGCTCGAACTGGGTGGAGCCCACCACAGCTCAAGGAGGCCTGCCTGCCTCTGTAGGCTCCACCTCTGGGGGCAGGACACAGACAAACAAAAAGACAGCAGTAACCTCTGCAGACTTAAATGTCCCTGTCTGACAGCTTTGAAGAGAGCAGTGGTTCTCCCAGTACGCAGCTGGAGATCTGAGAACCGGCAGACTGCCTCCTCTAGTGGGTCCCTGACCCCTGACCCCTGAGCAGCCTAACTGGGAGGCACCCTCCAGCAGGGGCACACTGACACCTCACACTGCAGGGTACTCCAACAGACCTGCAGCTGAGGGTCCTGTCTGTTAGAAGGAAAACTAACAAACAGAAAGGACATCCACACCAAAAACCCATCTGTACATCACCAGCATCAAAGACCAAAAGTAGATAAAACCACAAAGATGGGGAAAAAACAGAACAGAAAAACTGGAAACTCTAAAAATCAAAGCACCTCTCCTCCTCCAAAGGAACACAGCTCCTCACCAGCAACAGAACAAAGCTGGACGGAGAATGACTTTGATGAGCTAAGAGAAGAAGTCTTCAGATGATCAAATTACTCTGAGCTACGGGAGGACATTCAAACCAAAGGCAAAGAAGTTGAAAACTTTGAAAAAAATTTAGAAGAATGTATAACTAGAATAACCAATACAGAGAAGTGCTTGAAGGAGCTGATGGAGCTGAAAACCAAGGCTCGAGAACTACGTGAAGAATGCAGAAGACTCAGGAGCCGATGTGATCAACTGGAAGAAAGGGTATCAGCAATGGAAGATGAAATGAATGAAATGAAGTGAGAAGGAAAGTTTAGAGAAAAAAAGAATAAAAAGAAATGAGCAAAGCCTCCAAGAAATATGGGACTATGTGAAAAGACCAAATCTACGTCTGATTGGTGTACCTGAAAGTGATGGGGAGAATGGAACCAAGTTGGAAAACACTCTGCAGGATATTATCCAAGAGAATTTCCCCAATCTAGCAAGGCAGGCCAACGTTCAGATTCAGGAAATACAGAGAACGCCACAAAGATACTCCTCGAGAAGAGCAACTCCAACACACATAATAGTCAGATTCATCAAAGTTGAAATGAAGGAAAAAATGTTAAGGGCAGCCAGAGAGAAAGGTCGGGTTACCCTCAAAGGGAAGCCCATCAGACTAACAGCGGATTTCTTGGCAGAAACCCTACAAGCCAGAAGAGAGTGGGGGCCAATATTCAACATTCTTAAAGAAAAGAATTTTCAACCCAGAATTTCATATCCAGCCAAACTAAGCTTCATAAGTGAAGGAGAAATAAAATACTTTACAGACAAGCAAATGCTCAGAGATTTTGTCACCACCAGGCCTGCCCTAAAAGAGCTCCTGAAGGAAGCGCTAAATATGGAAAGGAACAACCGGTACCAGCTGCTGCAAAATCGTGCCAAAATGTAAAGACCATCGAGACTAGGAAGAAACTGCATCAACTAACGAGCAAAATAACCAGCTAACATCATCATGACAGGATCAAATTCACACATAACAATATTAACTTTAAATGTAAATGGACTAAATGCTCCACTTAAAAGACACAGACTGGCAAATTGGATAAAGAGTCAAGACCCATCAGTGTGCTGTATTCAGGAAACCCATCTCAAGTGTAGAGACACACATAGGCTCAAAATAAAAGGATGGAGGAAGATCTACCAAGCAAATGGAAAACAAAAAAAGGCAGGGGTTACAATCCTAGTCTCTGATAAAACAGACTTTAAACCAACAAAGATCAAAAGAGACAAAGAAGGCCATTACATAATGGTAAAGGGATCCATTCATCAAGAAGAGCTAACTATCCTAAATATATATGCACCCAATACAGGAGCACCTAGATTCATAAAGCAAGTCCTGAGTGACCTACAAAGAGACTTAGACTCCCACACATTAATAATGGGAGACTTTAACACCCCACTATCAACATTAGACAGATCAACGAGACAGAAAGGATACCCAGGAATTGAACTCAGCTCTGCACCAAGTGGACCTAATAGACATCTACAGAACTCTCCACCCCAAATCAACAGAATATACATTTTTTTCAGCACCACACCACACCTATTCCAAAATTGACCACATACTGGAAGTCAGTGTGGTGATTCCTCAGGGATCTAGAACTAGAAATACCATTTGACCCAGCCATCCCATTACTGGGTATATACCCAAAGAGCTATAAATCATGCTGCTATAAAGACACATGCACACGTATGTTTATTGCGGCATTATTCACAATAGCAAAGACTTGGAACCAACCCAAATGTCCAACAATGATAGACTGGATTGAGAAAATGTGGCACATATACACCATGGAATACTATGCAGCCATAAAAAATGATGAGTTCATGTCCTTTGTAGGGACATGGATGAAATTGGAAACCATCATTCTCAGTAAACTATCGCAAGAACAAAAAACCAAACACCACATATTCTCACTCATAGGTGGGAATTGAACAATGAGATCACATGGACACAGGAAGGGGAACATCACACTCTGGGGACTGTTGGGGGGTGGGGGGAGTGGGGAGGGATAGCATTGGGAGATACACCTAATGCTAGATGACGAGTTAGTGGGTGCAGCACACCAGCATGGCACATGTATATGTATGTAACTAACCTGCACAATGTACACATGTACCCTAAAACTTAAAGTATAATAATAAAAAAAAAAAAGAAAAAAAAAAAAGAAAACCACTTCAAAATAAATAAATAAATAAATAAATAAATAAATAAATAAAAATAAAATGCAAAAAAAAAAAAAAGAAAAAAGAAAAAAAAGAAAAAGAAAAAGAAAACAAAAGAAAGAGGATGGAGAAACAGGGATTTCCCCTACATTCTTCAGGCTGGAGGAGTCTTTTACTCAGTTAATTAGGCCAGAGAAACAGGCTATCTCCTTGGAACTTAGAGGCCCACACCACAATCCCCCAACTGCCATGCAGCTTCCCAAATGGGGCTGGAGCTAGGGAAATGCCAGGAAAAAAAAAGGAATGAAAAAAAGAAAAACAAATGAACAACAGGGATTTCTTCCCATACTCTCCAGCTCATGGAAAGTCCCTATGCCCAGTCCTTTGGCTAGAAAGTGGGAGATCCCTTTCAGAGATTTTCCAACACTTAGCACATTTTAATTATTTCATTTTTATTTAGAATGACTTAGTTCTGTCCTACTTCCTGCATAATGAGCCTCATGCAAGCATGTGTGTGTGTTATGTCACAATTGTGTCATCCCACACAGTTGGTAGTCAAGATATATTTGCTGACAGATTGCATAGTATCTGACACTTAGTTGCTATACAAAGTGCTATCTGGGCTCTGCCGATAACCCCTTGCCTTTATTTTAGTGCACACTAACCTGACCTCCAATTGCAAGCTTGTGAATTTCTCTGCCTGAGGTCTTTCTCAGGCAACTGAAGCATGCTTTGTCTGCATCTGCAGCAGGTTAGTGCCAGAAAGTTAACATCTGCTGAAAAAAAGACCTCAACCGATGACTAAAGGAGTTGGTTTATAAATACCCCAGCCCATTTCCCCTCAGGTAAGTTAATTCTGTGCACTGGTTTTCAGAATTTTTCCAACAGCGTTTAGTTCCAGTTGTCCACAGTAGTAGTAGGTTTGAAAATGCACAATTTGTTGGCTATTTCCCTTCTTTGACTCACTTTACCAATTCTATTTTGGTATTTCCTTATCCTCTTAAATAAACTACTTTTACCTAAATCCTTGCTTTTAGGGGTCTACTTCTGAGGTCACCCAAAATAAGGTATCTACATACTCTACATACCTAGGAATGGGGGTTTTATTAAGATCTTTTCTTGTAGCTGGTAGATGGACAGAGCACTGGACTTCAAGTCAGGAGGTCCTAGTTTATCCATTTGTCAGCTAGGTAACCTTGAACAAATTCCTCAATTTTTCTGAGGCGCAGATTTCCTCATTTGAAATGTAGAGTTAATAAAATCTACCTCATAATGTTCTTGCGAGGATTAAATAAAATAACGTAATATATGAGAAAATAACGTAATATATGAGAAAATACCTATTCTGGAAGCCGGCACATAGTGCATCCGTGTATGCTAGTTCAGTGTAAGTATAAAGAATTCTTTCTTGTGCTGTGAACTATCATGCCTATTTTATTTTCTTCCCGATGGGAAGTGGGGGTTGTATTCACATGTTGTGTCAACATCAGGAATTGCTAATGGTGGGGAAATGTTGGAGAGATTGTATTGTTTCATCTTGAGGAGCATGCTTCTAATTAGCAAGAGAGCCTGTTTTATTTCAACATAAATGGGCAATGGCTAAGCAGATGGTCCCACTATTCCTGAGTCCCAGTGTGCTCCAGAGGAAATGTACAACAAACACTTCAGAGTGAGTGCATTGTTTTTTAATTTATATGAAGCTCTCTTTTATTTGAAAATTGTTTCATGAAGTTTTCATTACTTCACAGACTTTTGGACCTTAAAGAGACCCTAGTGATCAGTAGGAATAACTCCCTATTGTTTTATAGTTAAGGAATCAGAGGCTCTATTGCCTCCCCTCCCCAAAAGCATTTCAGGAACAATGACAACTATCTTCAACTATTTAAAAGATTAATAAATAAGAGATCAATAAGTCTTATGAAACTGACTTCAGAAATTAATGGAGATGGGTCATTTTGAATTCCACTTGAGGGGGAAGATTTTATCAACTAGAGCTGTCCAACAACCAAGGAGATAGCTGGATGTGAAAAGTCTGCCATCACTGGATGTATGTAAGAGGACACTGAACCTGTGGGGCATTCTAGAAGGGATTCCTGCTCTGTGGGAGGGAAACTTAACTAGGCACCAGAGTCCCTTGCGAGTTTATAATTTGACAGTTCTGGGTTTCTTATAGCAAATACCTTGCACAGTACAGAATGCATAATATATGCACAGCAAAAACATGACGATTATTACCAAACATTCTGTGCCCACTAAAGTTGCCATAGAGATAATTAATTCTCTTCTTACTTCTATGAGTGTCTTCTTTCTTCATATTGACACTCCATTCATTTTATTTCTCCCTGCCTGCAGTAGCCCAGGGGATGTAACAGCCCTGTTTCCAAGCATGCGGGAACCCCCAGTGTTTGACACAAGGGGGGCTTCTAGGAGGCCAGGCTTGGCAATGGGGAAGAATATGGCTGTAGAAGCCATGGAGGGGCACGGCTTGGACCATCCTTCAAGAAACAACTTGCCGTAGGTGCAAGGAGTACAGTGAGCTGACTCCTCCAGATACTAGCTCCTTTAGGACTCATCTCGGCTTTCTTGCCGAGGTCTCAGAAGTCCCAGATAGCCCCTTGCTAATGGCTGAGCATGGTAAAAATGCCAAGTGGCCATTTCAGCATGAATTAGGACTCCTCTTTCAGCTTATCTTTGCTCTGTGGCTGACTGTTGCATCAGTGCTCTTATCAAACCTGCATCATGATCTGAGGTTTCTTCAACCCAATCTTGACTCTCATCTGTCTTTCCCAGGTATTGGATCTACATCATGGTCTGCAGGTGTTCCCTGCCCCATCCTGCTTCTTTTCCTGTTGCCTTTCATAGTACCTTCAGCAGAGCCCTTATATAGTACCCCTAACTCCATCTCAACCTCTGCTGTCAGAAGGACCAGTTGACTCCATGGCCGACCTGGCAGTTGTGGAGCCCATGATAAAGGGAACAGAAGACCACATCCCAAAAGTAGGAGAATCTGAATCATCAGCATGATTGAGAAAACAAGAAAGGGAATTGAAGAACAGGAAGTACAAGGAAAAGTCAGAAGGCAAGAGCGTGGGGTTTGGAGGCAGGTTCCTTGAAGAAAATATTCTAGAATGGGGAATCATTTCCATAAAGACTCCCAGCCACACACTAGGGCCAATGTTCCTCAGACAGAAGACACTTAATGTTTTATCTAATGGGGACCAGGAAAAGGGAGAGAAACTGCCTATGCTCTGTCCATTGACACTGGCTGTTGCATTGCACAATATAGCAGCATCAGCAACAGGATTTACAAACGTGGAAGTGCCAGCTTTTTCGGGGCAGATAATAATAACACCTAATATTTTATTGCATGAATGGTATGCATCAGGTCCTATTTACTGCTGTTAGTTCATTTATCATTTAACAGTTTCTGAGGGTCAGAAATCTGAGAGTAGCTTGCTGGACTGGGTTTTTCATGAGGTTGTAGCCAGGGCTACAGTCATTTTAAAGCTTACCTCAGGATGGAGGAACAAAATCCAAGTCACATGTGGTTTTTGGCAGGCCTCAGTTTCTCACCATGTGGGCCTCTCCATGGGGATGCTTGACATAGCAGCCGGCTTCCCACAAAGTGAGTAACCCAAGACAGAGACAGCACTCAAGGCAGAAGCCACAATGTTTCCTAACTTCCTTCATCTCAGAAGTGGAATTCCCTTATTTACAGCATATCCTATTGTCAGAGACAAACCCTGGTACAGTATGGGAGAGCACTACACCAGGGTGAGAATACCAGGAGGGCAGGATCTATGAGACCATCTTGCAGGCTGGCTACCAGAACCTTTAAAGGAACAATATGAAGTAGGTGTTTTACCACGGAGGAAAGTGAGGCTCAGAGAAACTGCAATACCAGTGGAAAGTCCAGGTTTGAACTGAGAGTCTATGTTCCTAACCACTATGCTATACTGCCTCTCCAAACAGAGGAGTAGAAGATAGGGAAGAAAGAAGATGAATACGGTTGAACTTGATCATTGTGGGTAGTTAAGCAAGGAATGTCATAAACAATGATAATTTGTATAGACATGTACAGCTTAACAGAACAATTCCTCATTATCAAGGGTAATCTTTACATCAAACCTATAAAGAAGGAATTATTTCCCCATTTTCCAGATGACAAAAACTCAGAAAGACTAAGTGCCTCCCCATAGTTACACAATTAATCAATTAATACACAGTGGAGTTCAACTCAGATCTTCATTTCTAAGTACAGGATTCTACACTGTATATCAGCTATTCTTTCCACTAAAAAACCAAGGACAAATTGGTGTTTTCAATTCTCTAGCAATAGAAAATAAGGTAACAAAATTGGGGAGGAGCACCAAGAAATTTGTTAGCTACATGTGAAGTAGAGGAAGCCTGCTCTGAAGAATGGAATTGGTTGGAATTTTTTCAGTGTTTCTTAAATATAATATACATACAGAAAAGCATACATATCACAAGCATTTGCCTTATTGAACTTTTATAAATGAACAAGCCAAATGAAGAAATAGACATTACCATTCACTCCAGAATCTCTTTCATTCCCATTTTTTGTTACTACCCCCTACTCAGTAAACACTATGGTGACTTATAAAACCATAGATTAGTTTCCATGTTTTCGAAGTTTATATAAATTGAATCATACAAAAAAGTATATGATTCCATTTATATAAACAGCTTCTTTGACTTAATGTTATATCCATGAAATTTATCCATACTGTTGTGTACACTTGTATTTTTTCATTCTCAGTGTTGTATAGTATTCCACTGTGTGAAGGTACAATTTATTTATCCACTGTACAAAGGGTTAGGAAACTACAATTCATGGGCCAAATTTGGCCCGGCTCTTATTTCTGTACAGCCTGAAAGCTAAGAATGTTTTCTACATTTTTAAATGTTTTAAAAAATCAAAAGAGTGATATTTCATGGCACATGATAATTATATGAAATTTAAATTTCAGTGTCTATAAATAACTTTATGGAACATATCATGCTTACTCATTCTCATATTATCTGTGGTTGCTTTCACGTTACAATGGTAGAGTGAAGTAGTTACAACAGAGACCATCTGTAGTACTATTGCTTTGCACTGTTGCTTGGGGCACCAGAAATATTAATGATGCACTTATAATTCAGTTTTGCCTCTTGGACTGAAAATTTACCATCTGGCTCTTTACAGAAAATGTTTGCTGATACCTGCCTTATATTATTGATGGGCATTAGGGCAATTTCTAGTTATATGCTATTATGAATAGTGCTGCTTTGAACATTCTATTTCATGTTTTTGGTGAACTTACATAAGCAGTTATTTTGGGTGCATATCTAGGAGTGGAATTGCTAAGTACTAGGATACGTTCAGCTTAGTCGGTACTGCCAAAGTGAGTTGTACCAATTTCACATTCTAACCAGCAATGTATGAGAACTTTACTTGCTCCATATTCTCACCAATGGTATGTATTTTATGTTTATTTCATTTAATCATCTGGTGAATGTGTAGTGGTAATGCAAGAATGGTTTTGTAATGATAATTACAACAACTTTTTTTCTAGGCTCTGATAATAGTCTCACTTACATTACGGCTTTATAGACAAGTCTATTTGATAGCCATGAAAATAGTAGTCAGCAGAGTTAAGGAATTTTTAGGTCACACAGCTATTAAGTAGCAGGACAAGGATTTGATTGGCTTTATAGCCTATGTCCTTTCTATTACACTAAACTGCCTCTCCATATGACAATTTAAAGAAACATTACACCCTTGGAAAGTATCAGCAATAGTAGTGTGTTTAGCATTCAAACGTTTGTTAGAAAAAAAGAGAGTGGTGGTTTATGAAAAGTAGGTACAGGGCGAGCATACCTTCATTTCTGCTACTTTCTGCTGCAGTGGTTAACTGTGTGCCTTCTGCCTCCCCTCAGTCCTCTGGCTGGTTATGTTTATTACATGTTCTGACAGTTGAGGCCTGTGGTGAAAAATGATAACAGATTTGTATTCTCAAGATCATCTCCAGATGCTGACTAGAAGCACCTCTGGATTCATGATATATTTATCTTTAGTATTTCTTGAAGATGAATGATTGAAAAAAAAGTTCTAGGAGCACTTCAGCATAAATCACAGAGAATTCCTTTCTGTGGCAATATGGAATGTGTTTCTCTATTTCTTTAAGAAGAATAATGTGTGTATTAATAACTTGGTTGGAATGGGGACTGGGCCAAGATGAGATGATCACGCAAATCATTATTGATGGTTTCTCGTAGCCAAGCAATCTGTTCCCTCAAACCTGGAGTTTGTCATCTGTAGGGGAATAACTGCTGAAAGGCCACATCTGAGTCACTTGCATGAGTCCTCTCCTCTCCATTCATCCCAACTGCTACTTTTCCCAACCAGTTTTAAAGTATTTTTTTTAGTCTAAATTGCAAAACTCTCACATCAGTTTTAACTTCCTCTCCTATTCAAATTGATCCTATTCTCCTATTCTCTCCTATTCAAATTGACCCTAGAATTGTCCTGTTGATCTGTTTATGCTGTTGCCTTGATCAAATACTTCCAGAGACTCTTTATTGCCTATATCAGTGCTGTACAATCATTTTTGATTCTACACTACTACCTGTGAAAATTACATCTATGAATTTACATAAAAATTATAATGTATATATGAGGCATTTATGAATTTGTATTTTTATATAAAAATATGAAAATGTACAGTTTTTAAAGGATGAGGTAGCATATATCAAGGGTCAGCAAACTTTGTCTTAAAAAAATAACAGATAGTACAGATTTTAGGCTTTTGTGGGCGATAAGGCTCTATCATATCTTCTCAACTCTGCCATTATAGTGCAAAAGCAGCCATAGACACTATGCAAACAAATGGGTATGAATGTGCTCTAATAAAACTTTATTAATAAAATGACCAAATTTGGTCCTCAGTCCATATTTTGTGGATACCTGATATATATCTTTAGCTACTTCAGATGTGGCCAAGGTCAAACTGGTCCCAGGAACTCAAATACTCCTGACTTTCCTCTCCAACTCTGCTGTGCATGTCTATGTGGTTATCCCTGCAGCTGAAGCCTGGCTTCCTCTGCTCCACAGATTACCACACAGTAAAAGCTGGCTGGCAGCAGGTCTCAACTTTGATGTTACAATCCAGGCACACACCAAGAGCCCTGTTCAACTCTCTTAGTTCTAGATGGAATTTCCCAGAAAAAAACTTATTTGCCCAACTTAGTGTGCCCTTGCCATTTCAGTAACATTATATCACATGGCGATTTTTACTACAACCACTCAGATGGAGAGAAAGGGAACAATTCCTTCAGAAGGCATGACAGGCAAACAACTTTCTCAGTATCTTCTACCATAAGGAGCAGCACAAAGAGAGAAATAATTAATCATCACAATAGTTAGGATCATTTTCATAAAGAGAAGCAACTGTAGTTACAGAAAGCATATGAGAGATAAGTTGTCTTATATTGCTAAGCACTTATTGTGCATAGAACTATGCAAACAAACGGGTTATGACTGTGTTCTATGTGGTAGTTTCTTTAAATCAATGAGTGGTTTTCAAATAACTTTTAGCATCTATGCCAGAAAGAATGTATTATGTTATACTGTGGTAACAAACAACTCTAAAATCTCAGTGGCTTCAGAAAGCAAAGATGAACTTCTTGTTCATACTACCTGTCTATTACAAGTTGACCAAGGGCTCTTCTCCCCTTTCTCCATCAGGAATACACGTGAACTGAACATCCCCCAACTGTCTCCCACAGCAGGAAGAAAAGAAAGGGGTGAATCATGCAATAGTCTTTAAAGGTTTCTTCTTGAAAGTGACACACATTGCGTTCACTCATATTTAATTTGCCTAATCACTTAACTTTAAAAAGGTTAAATGAGTAATTAAGCGATGTGCTTGGATTGTATTACTGGTACCAATTACATGCTGCTCTCCTGCAATAGGACTGTGTATCTTTACCATACATTGTGTGGTATACATGACTGTGGGATAAGTACATGTTCCCATTTCATCAATATTATGTTTGGCCATATGGCTTGCTTTGGCCAATTAAATGTAATCAGAAGTGATATGTGTTACATTTGAGCAAAGAATGTAAAGCCATCATATGGTTCTGTCATTGTTCTTTTCCCTGATAAAAAAATGATATGTCCCAAATAAGGGCTGTTCAGGCAGGCTCTGTTCTAGAACGAAGGAGATACATAAAGTGAAGCCATGTCTACCTACAGTCAACATGTCAACTACATGAGAAACGAACTTTTGTTCTTATAAACTACTGAAGGTTTGGAGTCTTTTGTTGTAGCAGTATAACCCAGAAGAAGGTGACTACTACAGAGAAGAACCAGAGATATCAATAAATAGCTCTAATGACTAACACAACCAGCCTTTATAATGACAGAATTTTTACTTGCTTGCTGCTGTGCACACATTATACGCACACACCCGTCTTCAAGGAGTCACCCCAAAAGTCTGTCCAACCACTATATCCAACACAAAGTTCAAGTTATCTGGATGTGTTCATTTGCTGAGGCTGCCATAACAAATACCACAGACTGGGTGACCTAAACAACAGAAGTATATTTTTCACAGTTCTGGAAGCACAGTTTTGGAAGTCCAAGATGGAGATATTGGCAGGATATTCTTCCAAGGGCCCTCTCCTTGGATTGTAAATAGCTGTCTTTTCTCCCTTGTCTTCACACAGTCCTGCCTCTATGCCTGACTGTGTCCTAATCTTCTCTTCTTATAAGGACAACAGTCATGATGAATTAGGGACAACCTATATGATACTATTTTACCTTAATTTTCTCTTTATTTAAAGGCCCTATCTCCAAATGCAGTTACATTCTGAGACATTGGGGGTTAGGACTTCAACGTTTGATTTTTGGAGGAGGGACAATTCAGCTCAAATACTGGGCTATATGCAGCAATCTTTTTATCAGAGCATTTGTGCAAAGTTGTTTTTTTATCAGGTCCAGAATTGGTTTCTCTTGATCTGGAGACCTTTGTACTAAAAAGATAAATCATCTGTGCCCTACACACCCAATATACAAGAGAACAGAAAAGCCACAATAAATAACTTCATTAGAAAGATAAACTACAGGAGACACATAGCAGAAACTGTTCAATAGTAAATCGGAAATCCTAACAGGCAGAAATCTTGAAGGTCCCCTACTTAAGAGTAGAGAATGTGCCTAAGTAAAGCCTGACTACACACTCAGGGAGTATCATCTCTCTACTTTTATCTCCATTATCTTTGGCTCTGACCTCTGGAGACCGTATCTTTTTCATTACAGGCATACCACAGGGATGTTGTGGATTCAGTTCCAGACCACCACAACAAAGCAGATATCACAATAAAGCAAGTCACACAAAGGTTTTGGTTTACCAATGCATATACAAGTTATGTTTACACTACACAGGAGTCTATTTGGCATGCAATAACACCATGTCAAAAAAAGTACATATGATAATTTTTTAAATTGTGCTGCTAAAAATTGTTAATGATCATTTGAGCCTTCAGCAAATCCTAATCTTTTTGCTCATGGAAAGTTTTGCCCATGTTGATGGCTGTTGGCTGATCAGGGTGTGGTTGCTGAAGGTTGGGGTGGCTGTGGCAATTTCTTAAAATAGGACAACAATGAAGTTTGCTCCATTGCTTTACTTCCTTTCATGAAAGATTTGTCTGTAGCATGCAATGCTGTTTGATAGCAAATTTTAAAATGTTTATTTTTTAATTGACACATAATATTTGTACACATTTATGAGGTACATAGTGATATTTTGATACATACAATATATAGTGGTCAGATCAGGGTAATTAGCATACCGATAATCTCAAACATTTATCATTTCTTTGTATTGGAAACATTCAATATCCTCTCTTCTTGCCATTTGAAAATTTAATGTGCTGTTAACTATAGTAATCCTACAATGCTATAAAACAATAGAACACATTCCTCCTATCTGGCTGTAATTTGTTTCCATTAACATATCTTTGTTTCCCCCCTTTTCCCTACCCTTCCCAGCCTCTAGTAACCTCTATTCTCTTTATTTCTATGGGATTTTTATCTTCCCCACGTGAAGGAAAACATGCGATGTTCAACTTTCTCCTTCTGGCTTATTTCACTTTATATAATGTCCTTCAGGCTCATCTATGTTGCCACGAATGACAGGATTTCATTCTTTTTTTATGGATAAATAGTATTCCATGCTGTATATATGCCACATTTTCCTTATCCATTCATCTGTTGTTGGACACTTGGGTTGATTCCATATCTTGGCTATTGTGAATAGTGCTGCAATAAACATTGGGGTGTAGATATCTCTGTGATATACTGGTTTCCCTTTTTTTTTTAGATATCTACCTAGTGGGATTGCTAGATCATATGGTAGTTCTATTTGTAGTTTTTTGAGGAAGCTTTATGCTCTTTTCCATTGTGGCTGTACTCTTCCACATTCCTACCAACAGCATGTAAGAGTGCCCTTTTCCTTACAACCTCAACAGTATTTGTGATTTCTCTTTTTGTTAATAGCCACTTTAACTGAGGTGAGATTATACCTTATTGTGGCTTTGATTTTCATTTTCTTTGTGATTAGTGATGTTGAGGATTTATTCATATATTTGTTGGCTATTTGTATATCTTCTTGTTAGAAATGTTTATTCAGATCATTTGCTAATTTTTTAATTGAATTGTTTGATTTCATTGCTTTTGAGATGTTTGAGTTTCTTGTATATTCTGGATGTGAAGCCTTGTCACAGGAATAGTTTATAAATATTTTCTTTCATTCTGTACATTGCCTTTTCACTGTGTCAATTGTTCTCTTTATTGTGCAGAAGCTTTTTGGTTTGATGTAATCCCATTTATTTTTGTTTTTGTTGCCTGCGTGTTTGAGCTCTTATTCATAAAATCACTTCTCAGACTAATGTCCTGGATAGTTTTCCCTGTTGCTTCTAGTAATGTTATAGTTTCAAGTCTCATACTTAGAATTTTAATCTATTTTGAGTTGATTTTTATATAGAGTGAGAGATAAATGCCCTTCAAAATTGGAATCAATCCTCTCAAACCCTACTGCTGCTTTATTAATTAAGTTTATGTAATATTCTATTTGTTGTCTTTTAAACAATGTTCATGGTATCTTCACTAGGAGTAGATTTCATCTCAAGAAACTACATTATTTGCTCATCCGTAAGAAGCAACTCCTCATCTGTTCAAATTTTATCATGAGATTACAGAAATTCAGTCTCATCTTCTGGCTCTACTTCTAATTCTTATTCTCTTGCGATTTCTAGCATATTTGCAGTTACTTCCTCCACTGAAGTCTTGAACCCTTCAAAGTCAATCATGATGGCTTGAATCAACTCCTTCCAAACTCCTGTTAATGGTGACATCTTAACCTCTTCCCATGTTCTTAATGGCAACTAGATGATAAACCCTTCCCAGAAGGTTTTCAATTGACATTTCCCAGATACATCAGAGGAATCACTATCTATGGCAGCCATAGCCCTTTGAAATTTATTTCTCAAATAATAAGACTTGAAAGTCAAAATTACTCCTTGAGCCATGGACTGTAGAATGGATGTTGTGATAGCAGGCATGGAAACAACACTTTTCTCCTTTTACATATTCATTGGAGTTATTGGGTGACTATGTGTGTCAATGAACAGTAATATTTTTAAAGTATTTTTTTCTGAGCAGTAGGTCTCAATAATGGCATTAAAATATTCAGTAAACCATACTATAAACAGATGTGCTATTATCCACACTTTTTTGTTACATTTCTAGAGCACAGACAAAGTAAAGTTAGCATAATTTTGAAAGGCCATAGGATTTTCAAAATGGCAAATGAGCAATGGCTTTAATTTAAAGTTTCCATGTGCAGTAGCCTTTGACAAGAGGGTCAGCCTCTCCTTTGAAGCTTTGAAGCCAGGCATTGACTTTTTCTCTCTAGCTATGAAAGATGGTATCTTCATCCAATAAAGCTGTTTTAATCTACATTGAAAATCAATTGTTTAGTGTAGCCACCTTCATCAATAATCTTAGCTAGATCTTCTGGATAACTTGCTGCAGCTTCTACATCAGCACTTGATGCTTCACCTTGCCCTTTTATATATGAAGATGGCTTCGTTCTTAAACCTCATGATCCAACCTCTGCTAGCTTCCAACTTTTCTTTGCAGCTTCCTTACCTCTCTCAGACTTTACAAAATTAAAGAAAGTTAGGGCCTTGCTCTGGATTAGGCTTAGACTTAAAGGAATGTTGTGGCTGGTTTGATCTTCTATCTAGATCACTCAAATTTTCTCCATATCAGCAACAAGGTCATTTCACTTTCCTATCATTTGTGTGTTCACTGGAGGAGAACTTTTCATTTCCTTCAAGAACTTTTTCTTTGCATTCACAACTTGGCTAAACATTTGGCAGAAGGTGCCTAGTATTCAGCTTATCTTGGCCTTTAACATGGTTTCCTCACTAAACTTAATTATTTCTAGCTTTTGATTTAAAGTGAGAAACATTAGGCTCTTTTTTTCACTTGAACACTTAGAAGCCATTATAAGGTTATTAAATGGTCTAATTTCAACGTTTCCTCTTAGAGAATAGGGATACCTGAGGAAAGGAAAAGAGACAGAGGAACAGGTGGTTGGTGGAGCAGTCAGAACACACACATTTATTGATTAACATCACCGTCTTATATGGGTATGGTTTGTGGTGACCCACAACAATCCCAATAGTAACATCAAAGGATCACTGATCACAGGGAGATTGAGTGACTTCTGTCCTGGTGAGGTAACAACAGAAAGAATCCCCTCCACCAAGAAGGCTGCCCTTCCCAAATCCTCCTCAAATTGGCCTGCGTGGTAGTCTCCCAAGATATTTCTTTTCCTCCTTAGTGATATACAACTTTTGTTCATTTTGGTCATAGGAGAAATTCCAAGAAATAAGAGAGGTAAGTTGAAGTGACTGACAAAGGATGGAATGCCACAGCTGTTGAGGTTGAGAGGTAGGCTCAGCAGTCCACCCTTGTGTGATCTTGAGCAAGCTCAGTGACCTCAGAGCCTATGTTTCTCACTGGTTAAATGAATATAACACAGGTGGCTGGGGAAAATTGTGGACAGGTGACAGGACTAACGTGCAGCTCCCACTTGGATGGACAGAACAGTGTGTGGAGACTCACACTGTGAAGTTTTGCTCCAAGAACCACTGCAGGGACATACCAGGAAAACCAAAAGAATTCACAGACCCTTTGAAAGAAGCAGTTTGCCACTATGAACTCCCGAGACAGCTGAAAACCTGTGAGTTCCCAAAGTGTGAGGGGGGGAAAAGTCCACTTTGAATTCTTATCCCCATTGAGGAAAATGGAAATCCAGATCATAGGAGAAGAATTTAACCTTACCTAAAGCTGAAATGGATATAGGGAGCCAAGTGAAATATAAAAGCAGAAGCAGCAGAAGGAAGAGCCCTGTAGGCACTCCTGGTCATCAGCTCGAGCCCAGGAAAGCCATCCCTGGCTTTATTACCTCAAAGGGGTCCTTGGAGAAAGCAGCCAGTGAAATTGGGCAGGGGCCACAAGGTGAAGGAAGCTTCTAGTTTATTACAATTAAATTTTGTAATAACTTTGACTGAGCATGAATTTTCCTGAGTAGAATCTGGGTTTGAGGGGGGCAGACAGGAAGTGCAGATACAAGCACAGAAGTGACAGTTGATGGTGAGGGCAGGTGGGGAAAGGAGAGGACTGAGAGCCCTGCTTGCTTTCTCAGAAGGGAGGCTTGTAGCCTTGGGCAAAATATCAGCCCTGCTCACAGGCTGCCTGGATATAAACTTGGTGCTGTTAGTGGGGCACAGTGAGAGTGAGACTGGCCTTGCTGGCTGCGTGGGAACTAAGTGAGGCCTGTCACTGCCGGCTTTTCCCCACTTCCCTGGTGACCTGTATGACATAGCAGAGGCAGCCATAATCCCCCTGGGAACATAACTCCATTGGCCTGAGAACCAACACCCATCCCCCACAGTGGCCACATCAAGCCCTGCTCAAGGAAAGTCTGAGCTCAGACCTGCTTAACCCTGTCCCCAACTGATGGTTTTTCTCTACCTGCCCTGGTAGGCAAAGCAAAAGACATGAACACTTGGGAACTCTATGGCCCTGCCAATTGCCTGAGAAACCCAAGTACTTATCCTGGCCAATGTAGGACAAGCTTATATCCCCCTTCTATTACCACAGTTGGTGCTCTCTTCAAAGTGCCACCTCCTGGCTGGAGGCCAACTAACTCAAGCCATTACAGCAACTCAAAACAGAACAACTCTGCTACAAATAAGGAAAAAACAACAGTTAATTCTACTGCCTGCAACACCATGGCTAATCAGAGGTCCTGAGTCTATCTGTGTGACAACTTCACTGCTAGCATAACCAGCATTCAAGAAAACCAGTGCACTAAACAAAACTACAACCAAGGACTCCCACAGAGTCCACTTCACTCCCCTGCCACCTGCAC
The DNA here is from genome assembly GCF_000001405.40 of Homo sapiens. Lineage (NCBI taxonomy): Eukaryota > Metazoa > Chordata > Mammalia > Primates > Hominidae > Homo > Homo sapiens. The sequence continues at coordinate 56,107,363 of NC_000001.11, forward strand.
TAGAGCAGGTGGGGGTATTCATGGCTGGGAGACCTGAAGACAGATCACATCAGAGGACTCTTTGCAGACATTCTCCAGCATCAGCCAGGAGCCCAGGAGCCCCAGTGGGTAGCTAGACTCAGAAAGATAAAAACAATTGCTACACTCTGGCTCTCAGGAAACCTGGTCATGAAGGGAAGGAGGAGAGCACCACATCAAGGGATCACCCCATGGGACAAAAGAATCTGAATGGCAGTCCTTGAGTTTTAGATCTTTCCACTAAAACTGTCTACCCAAATGAGAAAAAATCAGAAAAGTAATTCTGGTAATATGAGAAAACAAGGTTCTATAAAACCCTCAAAAATCACACTAGCTCTCCATCAGTGGATCCCAACCAAGAAGAAATCTCTGAATTGCCAGATAAAGATTCATAAGGTTGATTATTAAGCTACTCAAAGAGGTACCAGAGAAAGGTGAAAACCAACTTAAAGAAATAAAAAAAATACATGATATGGATGAAAATGTCTCCAGAGAAATAGATATCACAATGAAAAGACAATTGCAACTTCTGGAAATGATAAATTCACTTAGATAAATGCAAAATACACTGGAAAGTTTCAACAATAGAATTGAACAAGTAGAAGAAAGAACATCAGAGCTCAAAGACAAGGCTTTTGAAGTAACCAAATCTGCCAGAGACAAAGAAAAAAGAATTTTCAAGAAATGAACAAGGCTCCAATAAATTAGAGATTATGGTAAATGACCAAGCATAAGAATAATTGGTGTTCCTCAGGAAGAAGAGAACTCTAAAGTTTGGAAAACTTATTTGAGGGAATAATTGAGGAAAATTCCTTGCTCTTGTTAGAGATCTAGACATCCAAATACAAGAAGCTCAAAGAACATCTGGGAAATTCATCACAAAGAGATCATTGCCTAGGCACATACTCATCAGGTTATTTAAACTCAAGACGAAGGAAAGAATCTTAAGAGCTGGGAGGCAAAAAGGAAAACCTATCAGAGTAAGAGCAAATGTCCCAACAGATACCCTACAAGATAGAAGGGATTGGAGTCCTATTTTTAGCCTCTTTGACAAGATAATTATCAGTCAAGAATTTTGTATCCAGTGAAACTAAGCTTCATAAATGAAGGAGAGACGAAGTCTTTTTCAGACAAGCAAATGCTGAGAGAATTTACCACTACCAAGCAAACACTACAAGTAATGCTAAAAGAAATTTGTTTCTAAATCTTGAAACAAAACCTCAAAATATACAAAAATAGAGCCTCCTGAAAGCATAAATCTCACAGGGCCTATAAAACTATAACACACACACACGCGCGCTCGTGCACACACACACACACGCACAAAAAGGTGACCAGGCAACAACTAGCATAATGAATAGAACAGTACCGTACATATCAATACTAACATGGAAAGTAAATGGTCTAAATGCACCACTTAAAAGATACAGAATGGGCCCAGCACAGTGGCTCATGCCTGTAATCCCAGACTTTGGGAGGCCAAGGCGGGCGGATCACAAGGTCAGGTGATCAAGACCATCCTGGCTAACATGGTGAAACTCCGTCCCTACTAAAAATACAAAAAGACTTAGCCGGGCATGGTGGCACATGCCTGGAGTCCCAGCTACTTGAGAGGCTGAGGCAGGAGAATCCCATGAACCCAGGAGACGGAGGTTGCAGTGAGCCAAGATTGCACCACTGCACTCCAGCCTGGGTGACAGAGCGAGACTCCATCTCAAAAAAAAAAAAAAAAAAAAAAAAAAAAAAGATATGGAAAGCCAGAATGGATAGAAATCAAACAACCAAGTATCTGTTGTCTTCAAGAGACTTACCTAACACATAAGGACTCACATAAACTTCAGGTAAAGAGATGGAAAAAGATATTCCATGCAAATGGAAACCAAAAGCAAGCAGGAGTAGCTACTCTTATATCAGACAGACTTTAAAGCAACAGCAGTTAGGCCAGGCATGGTGGCTCACACCTGTAATCCCAGCACTTTGGGAGGCCAAGGCAGGCAGATCATGAGTTCAGGAGATCAAGACCATCCTGGCTAACACGGTGAAACCCTGTCTCTACTAAAAATACAAAAAAATTAGCCAGGCTTGGTGGCAGGTGCCTGAAGTCCCAGCTACTCAGGAGGCTGAGCCAGGAGAATGACATGAACCTGGGAGGTGGAGCTTGCAGTAAGCCTAGATCACACCACTGCACTCCATCCTGGGCGACAGAGTGAGATTCCATCTCAAAACAAACAAACAAACAACAACAAAAAAAACAGCAGTTAAAAAATACAAAGATGGACACTATATAATTATAAAAGGATTAGTCCAACAGAAAAATATCATAATTCTAAATATATGTGCAACTAACTCTGGAGCTCCCAAATTTATAAAACAATTACTGCTAGACCTAAGAAATGAGATAGATGGCAACACAATAATAGTGGGGGACTTCAATACTCTACTGACAGCACTAGACAGGTCATCAAGAGAGAAAGACAACAAAGAAACAATGGACATAAACTCTATCCTAGAACAAATGGACTTAATAGATATTTATAGAACATTCTACCCAACAACTGCAGAATATACAGTCTTTTCATCAACACGTGGAACATTCTATTTTTTTTATTTTTAATTGATTTTTAAATTATGGCCATTTTTACAGGAGTAAGCCAGTATTCCATTATGGATTTAGTTTGAATTCCCTGATAATCAGTGATGTTAAGATTTTTTTTCATATGTTTGTTGGTCATTTGTGTATCTTCTTTTGAGAATTACCTATTCATGTCCTTAGCCCACGTGTTGATGGGATTATTTATTGTTTTCTTGCTAATTTGTTTGAGTTCCTTGTAGATTCTGAATATTTAGTCCTTTGTTGGATGCATAGTTTGCAAAGATTTTCTCCCACTCTGTGGGTTGTCTGTTAACTCTGATGATTATTTATTTTGCTCTGCATAATCTTTTACATTTAATTAAGTTTTATCTATTTATCTTTGTTTTTGTTCCATTTGCTTTTGGGTTCTTGGTCATGAGCCCTTTGCCTAAGCCAATATCTAGAAAAGTTTTTTGATGTTATATTGTAGAATTTTTATGGTTTCAGGTCTTACATTTAAGTCTTTGATCCATCTCAAGTTGATTTTTGTGTAAGCTGAGAGATGAGAATCCAGTTTCATTCTTCTACATGTGATTTGCCAATTAGTCCAGCACTCGAATTTGTTGAATAAGATGTCCTCTTCCCTGCTTTATGTATTTGTTTGCTTTGTTAAAAATCAGTTGGCTATAAGCATTTGGCTTTATTTCTGGTTTCTCTATTCTGCTCCATTGGTCTACATGATTGTTTTTATGCCAGCATCATGCTGTTTTGCTAATGATAGCCTTGTAGTATGGTTTGAAGTTTGGTAATGTGATGCTTCCAGATTTGTTCTTTTTGTTTAGTCTGGATTTGGCTATGCAAGCTCTTTTTTGGTTCCACGTGAATTTTAAGATTGATTTTTCTAGTTCTATGAAGACTGATGATGGTATTTTGATGAGAATTGCATTGAATTTGCAGATTGGTTTTGGCGGTATGGTCATTTTTACAATATTTATTCTACCTACCTATCCATGACTATAGGATATATTTCCATTTGTTTGTGTCATCTATGATTTCTTTCAGCAGTGTTTTGTGGTTTTCCTCATAGAGATCTTTCTCCTCTTTGGTTAGGTATATTTATTTATTTATTTTTCTTTTCTTTTCTTTCTTTTCTTTTGAGACAGAGTTTCACTCTGTCGCCCAGGCTAGAGATCACTGGCATGATCTCAGCTCACTGCAACCTCTGCCTCCTGGGATCAAGTGATTCTCCTGCCTCAGCCTCCCAAATAGCTGGGATTACAGGCATGCACCAACATGCCCGGTTAATTTTTGTATTTTTAGTGGGATTACTGGGTCAAATAGTAGTTCTATTTTTTTAAGTTGTTTTAGACATCTCTGAACTGCTTCCCATAGTCACTGAACTAGTTTTCATTCCCACCAACAATGTATAAGCATTGTCTTTTCTCCTCAACCTCACCAACATTTGTTGTTTTTGACTTTTTAATAATTGCCATTCTGACTGGTGTGAGATGGTATCTCATTGTGGTTTTGATTTGCATTTCTCTGATGACTAGTGATGTTGAGCATTTTTCATGTTTGTTGAAAATCAATGTACAAAAATCAGTAGTATTTTTATACAACAATAATGTTATCGCTGAGAACCAAATTGAGAACACAGTTTCATCTACAATAGCCACAAAGAAAATGAAATTCCTAGGAATCCATCTGACCAGGGAGGTGAAAGACCTCTACAAGAATTACAAAACACTGCTAAAATAAATCAAAGATGACATACACAAATTAAAAAAAAAATTCCATGATCATGGATTGGAAGAATCGATATAGTTAAAATGGCCATAGTGCCCAGAGCAATTTATAGATTTAATACTATTCTTATCAAAATACCAACATTATTTTTCACAGAACTAGAAAAAAACTACTCTAAAATTCATTTGGAATAAAAAAAGAGCCTGAATAGCTAAATCCTAAGCAAAAAGAACAAAGCCAGAGGTACCACATTGCCTGACTTCAAACTATACTGTAAGGTTACAGTAATCAAAACAGCATGGTACTGGTATGGTACAAAAACAGATCAGTAGAACAGAATTGTGAACCCAGAAATAAACCCACACACCAACAACCATCTGGTCTTTGACAAAAACAACAAAAATAAGCAATGTGAAATGGACTGTCTATTCAATAAATGGTGCTGGGAAAATTGTCTAGCCATATGCAGAAGAATGAAACTGGACCCCTACCTCTCAACGTATATGAAAATTAATTTAAGATGGATTAAAGATTTAAATGTAAGACCTGAAACTATAAAAATCATAGAAGAAAACCTAGGAAATACCCTTGTTAATGTTGGCTTTGGCAATAAATTTATGGCTAAGTGACCAAAAGCAATTGCAACGAAAACAAAATTGACAAATATGACCTAATTAAACAAAAGAGCTTCTGCACAGCAAAAGAAATTATCAACAGGGTAAACAGACAACCTACAGAATGGGAGAATACACTTGCAAACTATGCCTCTGACAAAAGTCTAATATCTAGACTCTACAGGGAACTTAAACAAATCAACAAGCAAAAAACAAACAATCCAATTGAAAAATGGGCAAAGGACATGAATAGACACTTTTCAAAAGGTGAGGTATTTGATCCTTTGTTGCAAGCTGCTTTCAATTTCCTCACAAATGCATGGTTCAGAGGTTATTTGGAAATTTCAGCTGAGTTTAAACATTGAATTAGGGCTGCCATCCTTTGACTCTTTCCTCCTCACTCTCTGGTGGCTATGGTTGCCACAGGTTTGCTTTATCTGCTTTATTTGGCTAAAAATATGTCAGGGTTTTTAAATCAGAATTGTAGTTACATGGCATTGTCTACACTATGATTGTGGGTACCTTCAAAATAAAGCCACATAAAGCACGGAACTTGCTCCATTTGGTTCCTTCATCTCGTGTTTCAACTTTCCTCCACAACCTTCTGCTTTTGCTCAGTCTCCAGAGTTTTCAAGTTAGTTAGTGTTTTGTATCTTTTCCCAAGTTCTGTTATTTGCGGTAGCTCACTACTCCATACTGGAGATGAAATTTTAATTCCAATTTTTAAAATTTCACAATAAGTTCAATTTTTGTAACTTTAAGGTTTTATGAAGTCATTAACTGAGATGAATAAAGATGTTTTACTAAACACATGAAGTTTGACGTTAAAGTTTATGATTCCCAAGTTGCCATCTTATTTCATCCTCAGCATCCAATTTCATTTCCTGTTTTGTTTTGGTTGCACAGTATTGAGAAAGCTTGATTTATATGAGTACACAATTGTAAAAGATAGTTTTTAAAAAAAATAATTTATCTTAGCATATCAGTCAATAAAACAGAAGCTTTATTTTGAGGTTTGCATAAAGAGGAGTCAGATTGGCAACATGATCTTCTAATCCAAGTTTTTTATAAACATTCTGTGAGAAGCTAACATCCATCGTCAAATGTGTTTGGGAGAATTTGCCTAGTATACTCCACTAGAGAATCATGACAAATTCTAGATCTTGAGGAGAAATCTTTTAAATCCAATTCAACTCATGTTTCCCAAAATTACTTATCACATACTCCTTATTTCAAAAAATACCTGGTAACAAATTGTAGGATCTGTGTTTTAAAATTTGGAAAACAAAAATTCATAATCCCAAAGGAAAGGAGAAAAATATAAGCATCCAAAATAGTGCCTACCATATAGTAGGTAACTAATGGATGCTAACACGCATTATTTTACTTAATCCTTACAATAACTGTATGAGGAAGATTTTGTTTTCCTGTTCAGACGAGAAAACTTGGGCACAAGAAGCTATTTTTTTAAACATACAAAATGCTATCTCATATCCCAAGGGGCAGACAGTGTCCTTGGACAGCCAAGGGCTATTGCTTCAGTCCCACCCAAGCATCAAAGTGGACTCAGTGGGGATAGAGCTGAACAGGGGTCAAGAGTCCAAGAATTCTCAGGATAGTAATCAGGGAAGGCAACCAGTATTGTTTTGGAGAACAGACAAGGCAGTGGCCAGAAAAATGGTACTGAGAAACATCAATAAAAGAGCTGAGAAAATAAATAGGGGAATTTAGCAGAAATATGAATACTTGGGGAGGTCGGGAACAATAATTACTTAAGAAGGACAAAAGTGAGAGGAGCAGCAATCCAAACCTAAGGTCATCTTACAAGGGGATTAGGATTTTGTATAGCAATAGGTTTAACTATTATAAAGGATTGTTTAAGGAAACGTACAGGTTAATAAAAGACATAACAAATTTTCAAACAAGCTTTAGAGAAAAAATGCTAATAGATGTCATAGGAGGGGACAAAGGCTATACACTAGTGCAGTCATGGAGGCTTCCTTGAAGAAATGGGTTATGAGTCAACACTGAAGTCAAGACAGGATTCATATGGCCTGGATCAGTAGAGAAAAAACATTTATATAATTGTCAAGAATTCTACTTTTACCTGTTATGTGGCAATGTGTACCCTTACCAATATAAAATGTCTAGGAAAATAATTTGTGAATTTCAAATTTTATTGAGGGCCTACTATGTGAAAATTATTTTAAAAAAGTAATTGGGGCTTCTTTATTTTAAGACATAATAATTAATTTTATTTTCCTAATCCAAGTAATTTTAACAAATAGTTTTTTCATTGTTCAGTTCCTTAGACTTTATGTTGCATGGTGGAAAAGAAATCAGCCAACTTCCTGGCTTTAGCACTACTTTCCACTCTAAAGTTATCTATGCAAGACAAGTGACAATTTATCTCATTACAATATTTTAAGTGAAAAACTTGATTTTTCCAAGTATTTTGGCTTCTAGTAAAATGTTTTCCAGCCTAACTTCTATAATCCACTATACTTTCAATCATCCATTCTGTGCTAAGAATTTTTGCAAGTTCCTCAAAGGCAAGGGCCATGTCCTATATGTACATTTATTTCACTTTAAAGTAAAAATCATTTTCCATTATAAAAAGATTGCATTTTAAAAATAGAGAAAATATCACATAGTTGTAATACCCAGGGATAACTTCTGTTAAGAGTTTGCTGTATTTTTCTACAGTCTGCTTCTGCCACATATATTTCTTACATAATTGTGATCAGATCGTATATACAAAATATGATATATAGAGTTAAAATATTATGTCTACCTTTTCTGATTATAATACAATTACAGGACAATAATTAGAAATTTAGAATTTTAGAAGAGTATAAAGAGAAAACACAAATGATGTAAAAATCCATCTATCCAGAGACAAAATATATATTTTGGCTTATTTCTTTAGAATCTTTTTCCTTTTTTCCAAACCTAATTAAATTTATACTATGTTGTAATGATTTTGAAGCATAATTAACACAAGCAACATTTTATAGAGAGAATCAGGTGTGTGATTATTTAGAAAGAGGCTTGGTGACTAATGATATCTAGGACGAGGTGGTTTCTCAGTACTTTCCTAATTATTTATTTAGAAACAGAGTCTCACTCTGTCACCCACACTGGAGTTCAGTGGTGCAATCTCGGCCCACTGCCTCCTGGGTTCAAGCGATTCTCCCGCCTCAGCCTGCTGAGTAGCTGGGATTACAGGCGCCCACCACCATACCTGGCTAATTTTTGCATTTTTAGTAGAGACCAGATTTTGCCATGTTGGCCAGGCTGGTCTCGAACTCCTGGCCTCAAGCAATCAGCTTGCCTCAGCCTTTCAAAGCGGTGGGATTACGGGCGTGAGCCACCATGCCCAGCCAGTATGTTTCTATTTTAAAATAAAGACATGAAGAAATTATAAAATGTTTCTGACAATGAATTAAGGTGTATATGCTATATGGAGCAGCATTAAGCCATTTAGTTGGTTTTCTCCTTGTTTGTATGGAGGAGGGAAACATGTCCCTTCTTCAGAAATTTTGTTATCTCAAGCTACCTAACATGCAACTGTTGATCTCTGATTAGCAAATGCAGAGCTGTACATCACCAGTGGCTTTTGTGCTCAATGTTTGTAGACAATTCTACTGATTTTTTTTTTTCATTGAGTGAAGGCGAAGCATGTAACGTGAAAAATACTTCTGTAATAATAGGGAATTATAACAACAACAATAACAACAATATGGTCATAATACCTACCACTTCAGAACGCTTACCATTTGTCAGGGACTATGTTAACCACTTCATATGGATTTATCACTTGAAATTTATTCATTCACATGAATAAATTTAATATATGTAAGCTGCCTGCTAATTGCTGGGAATTAAATAATGAGAAAAGAAACCAGTTTCAGAAGGATCTAAATTTGCTGTCATGTAGTTTAGAGATTAGTGAGGAAGAGACTTGATCAGCAATCATGCCAACAACCAAATAATTACAAGCTGTTTGAACTCTGAAAGAAAGACCCACTGTTTTGAGAGCATCTGTGGCTGATAAACCTTCTCAAAACTAGGAATGCATGGAAGGTTACCTGAGGAATAAGCTTTGACTAAAGTTTGCATATTGACAGGCAGCTAATTCAGCAAAAGAGGAGGAGAGTATGATTGGGGACAAACACAAGTAGTGTAAAATCAGGCTATGGACATAGGGAGATTCTAGATCAGGTAGGGTCCTTATAAGCTCTGCAAAGATTTCTGTCTTTATCATAGAACCAATGGAAATTCACTGGGGAGCTTTCAAATATGGAATTAATATGTACATATCTATATGTTTGATGATGACACTGGCTACATTGTGGTGATGAAACCGAAGAAGGCCAGAGTGGATACAGAAGAGCTGGAACAAGAGTAATAGCAGCAGAGATGATGAGCAGGTACATGCATTCAGGGAAATTCTGGAAGCAAATTTGACAGTGGTTGGGCTCTCTTTTGGAATGGATACTAGGGGTGTGGCAGGCAGGTGAAGAAACAGCAGGAAGGGGGTGGAATTCAAAAAGAAGTGGAGGAATTGGCCTTCAATAGAAGATAGAACAGATCCTCCAACTTCTCTTTGAGACATCTTTCCCTTTTGCATATTCAGCTCCTGGTTTAGGCCCTGATTAGTTTAGGCCAACCAGCATAGCCTATCCCCAGACCACAGTGATTGGTCAGGAATGAAGGTGTAAGCCAATCAGAGCCAATGAGATGCAAGGAGACATTCACAGGTGCTTTGGAGAAAATGAAGCTTCCCTGAAAGGTCTCCCATTCCCTGCACAATATGGTGTGACAATATGGCACTGGGTACTGCAGTCAGCAGTCATTACAGTGGGGTACTCAGAGATGTCAGAGGCACTGTGTAAAGCTGAGGATGGTGGTGTCACCCAGGAAAGCAGAGGCAAGAGAGAATGGAAAAAAAAAATCAAAACCTGAAACAAATGAAGATAACACTGTTATGTTAGTGACATCATTTTGGCCTTTAAATTAAAGAAATCTTAGATTAAAGATTTCTTAATGTCAGCCCTGCTTCTGGACTTTTTGGTTACATTCATCAGTAATTCCTTTTTTTTGTTTAACCCAAATCAAAGGTCGCTTTGAGTTGAGTTTGAGTTTTCTATGATTTCCCTACAATGTCCTGAGAGAGATACAGGTTTTCCCCATCAATTGACTTTCTCCAGCAGCAGTCAGCTTCTCTGATGCAGGTGAAGAGAAAGCAGATAGAGGAATTAATCCAGAGTTCAAATTTTGCCAAGTAGCTGTGATACAAAAGAAAGGGAGAGGGGTGTTGACAGGAGAGTTACGGAGACAATGGACTTACTGAGTCTAAATCATAAGGAGTGAAGCTAAAAAGATTAAGAGGTCTGACAGATTGTAGAAATGAAGGATCAATTCACAGCAGGTTCCAAAGAGGTTAAAAAATATTTGGACTAATAGCAAATTAACAAACAAACTGGAAAGGCACAAAGTGATGGAGACAAAGCAGGTTGCTTGAACTAGTTATTTCAAATTTGAGAATATTTTGAATGGTGGCAAAGTAAAAAGTTGGAGTGACAGAGGGGATATCTGAAATGAAGTAAAGGAGAAAGGAGCGTAGCAAGTGAGAGGGCAGGCTGTTGGTTGACTCCATCCCCACAGAGATGGGACGATCACCTGGGATGAGGGAAGGGATTGGGATGGCAAGGAGGACTCATTTAGTCTGTGATGTTCAACAAGGGTGTGGGAGAAACCGCAAGAGTTGAAGATACTAGTGACGAGGGGAGGGTGGTATACCAACAGGCACAGGCCTAATGGGAACAGAATTTTTACAAGATGATGAAGAAACAGAAATCTGGAAGCAGAAATGGGACATAAGGGACTCAACAAATCCACTCTAGTCCTGGGGTTCATGGAAGAAAATGGGAGAGAATAAAAAGATCCTGCATGTGAGGGCTGTCTGGGAAGTAAAATCCAGCAGGAAAAAGCCCGGTCTCAGTTAAGGGAAGGAGTGAGTAGAACATTCTGAGAATAGACCGGGAGTAGAGAGGACTTTGCTGATTCTGGAGTGGCAAGTCTTCAGAATAGAAAGGATGAATTTAAAAGGTATCAGAGAAGTAGAGAGATGGGTTGAAGATGAGAGCTTTGCCTAGCCTTATGGTGAGGGTGGTATAGTTAAAGGCTATAGGGCAGCAGACAACCACCAAAGTAAGTTATATTTTGGGTGTTAACAGTTAAAAACAGGGATGGAAATTTAAGAGGCCGAGGGGGGAGGATCACTTGAGGCCAGGAGTTCAAGACCAGCCTGGACGATGTGGCAAAACACCATCTCTACTAAAAATACGAAAATTAGCCAAGTATGGTGGCGGGTGCCTGTAATCCTAGCTACTTGGGAGGCCGAGACAGGAGAATCACTTGAGCCCCAGGGACTGAGGTTGCAGCGGGCCAAGATCATGCCACTGCACTCTAGCCTGGGCAACAGAGCGAGACTCTGTCTCAAATAAAATAAAATAAAATAAAATAAAATAAAATAAAATAAAATAAAATAAAATAATAAAATAAAATAAAATAAAATAAAATAAAATAAAAATAGCAAAATAAAAAACAGGGATGGGTGCCCTAGTGGGGAGATCCATTTGACAGAGTGGGTGCTGAGCCTCATGCAGGAGGGCATGACTCACATGAACTAAGATAGTGAAAATTCCAGCAGCTTCAGTGACTGAACACCTTGGCCTGGCTTAGTTGCCATAGGAGGACTGGGATTCAGCTGTACTCAATTCCTAAAGCTGGGGAAGAGTGAGTCCAGGAACCACATGCACAGTGGGAGCTTCTAGGATCCATGCTAAGCACTACCAATACTAGCACAGAAGGAATACTCAGGAAATATTGGTAGCTGCTGCTGCTCTTGCTGTTTGTGTTGTTGATGTTATTATTGTTGAACCACAATCCCTTACCTGCAACTGGGTCCTTGCCTATCTGTGTAAAAAGGGATTGGACTTGCTAATTTCTAAGATCCTTCTCAGCTGGAAATGTCTATGCTCCTATAGCCATAATATGTAAACGTTCAGTAATGGATCTTCTTTCCTAAGTAGCCACTTCCTCCACCTTGAAAAACCCTTCAGCCTAAAGGTTCAGATGTGTTCAGTCATTTCTTCATTCTTGCGCCTGGTTCCACAGTGACAATACCCTATGTGTATTCAAAGATTAAATACTATGTCTACTCAACCAAATATGCTATTACATATTAATTATATGGCTCACATAAAACAGGTTAGAGTTCCTTGGCAAATTAAAAATATGGCATTTGCAGCATATGGGGAGGCTTTTTTTTAGGCTCTGCATGAGATGAGGCATCTGTTATATTGCCAAGCTGATCATTCTATATTCCCTACTCTTCACATTAAGTTCCCTGTTTTAAGAGGCTCCAGAGCCCTCCGCACAACTCCAGATCCCCACTTCTAATCCTTAAACTTACAGAGCTTTTTCTTTCAAAATTAAAACAAAAAATATGTTTTAAGTATTTGTCTTTTTAAATTTGAGTACATTTCCCTTTATTTTCTTTGAGTTTTGATTAACGATGATTATCTCTTTTTTGCAACTCTAAGATGGCTGTGGTTCCATGAAAGGAAGAATATACTTATTATAATTAATATTCTAATTTTAATTCTTATGATTCCTTCTTTATTGGTAACAAAATGCCTTTATTCCCTTTTTATTTAACCTTCATGCACACACACACACACACACACACACACACACATACACACACAGTTATTAAGATGTTTGTATTACTTCCATGACATATGAGGACACAGAGGCTCTGAGAACTGAAGCAACACATCTGAGGTGACACAGGCTCTTGTGTTTCAGTGTGACATCCCACAATCCCTGTGCTTCTCTGTCATGATCAGTCGGTGAGTCAGACACCCCACAAGGTTGTGAATATCATGAGGATATAGGAGGGTATCTTATTACCCCAGAACTTAGTACACATAGTAACTTCTCAGAAAACATCTGCCAAGGAATGAGAGCTCTGCTTTTCATCGAGAATTGTTACAAATAACATTTCTTTTTATCAACACATCAGTTCTTTAACATTGCTATATAATCCTCTTGGTAGAAATGAAGAAATGAATGTGCAAGAAACTAAGCAATGATTTTGACATCCCACAGCATGTAAGAGGTAATGAAAGGACATGAATAGGGCTTCTATAGAATGATCAACTTGGCAATATAACAGGTCTTCTGGAACTTACTCCTGAGTTCTTCCCAATAAGCTACATTGAATTTTTTGAGTATAGTTGTACTTTAGATATGAACAAATACCCTGCCTACATCACAGGCATGAGTCCAGAAATTCTTCTTACACAGATGAGGTGACACCGTGGTCCTGAGAGGGCTAAGAGAGCTGCAGGAATCCAAGATAAGGACAAAGAGGCCACAGTGAGCTTGGACTTAGTAACCAAATGGCCAAGATAGTGCATCCCTGCAGTGGTGTCTCCAAAGATGCTCCAAAGAGCCAGAATGAACAAGTTGCCCCTCAATAATCAACATCCCAGAGGCAAGAGAAGACCAACCACAAACCACACAGCCCAGTGAGTGGTCCTTTCCTGGGTTATCCTGGGATCACATGGTCACATCTTTACATGGAGCCACAAAAGAGGAGAAGGGGAGAGTAAGTTCTGGAAAACTAAACATTTTGGAAAAAAAAAAAAAAAGAAGAAGAAGAAATCCCTCAAAAGAACTAAAACAAAGATAACTTTCACCATTTAGATGTTCCTCCTCCCACTCCTGACTGTGAAGCAGAAGAGTGAGTTTCATCAGAAAGATTAGAGACATTATGGAAAATAAAGAAGCTACATTTTCTTTTTTTTTCCCTTTTTATTTATTTAACTTATATTTTAAGTTCAGGTGCAGGTTTGTGCAGGTTTGCTACATAAGTAAACTCGTGTCATGGGGGTTCGTTGTATTGATTATCTCATCACCAAGGTATTAAGCCTAGTACTCATTAGTTATTTTCTCTGATCCCCTTCCTCTTCCCACTCTTTACCCTCAGGTAGGCCCCCAGTGTGTGTTGTTCCCCTTTATGTGTCTATGTGTTCTCATCATTTAGCTCCCACTTATAAGTGAGAACATGTGGTATTTGGTTTTCTGTTCCGGCATTAGTTTGCTAAGGATAATGGTCTCCAACTCCATTCATGTCACTACAAAGACATGACCTCATTCTTTTTTATGGCTACATAGTATGCCATGGTGTACATGTACCACATTTTCTTTATCTATTCTACCAGTGATGAGCATTTAGGTTGATTCTATGTCATTGCTATTGTGAATAGTGCTGCAATGAACATACTCATGCATGTGTGTTTATGATAGAATGATTTATATTCCTTTGGTATATATCCAGTAATGTGATTGCTGTTTGTTTTTAGGTCTTTGAGGAATTACCACACTGCTTTTCACCATGGTGGAACTAATTTATACTCCCACCGACAATATATATGTGCTCCTTTTTCTCCACAACCTTGCCAGTACCTGTTATTTTTACCTTTTTAGTAATAGCCATTCTGACTGATGTGAGATGGTCTCTCATTGCGGTTTTGATTTGCATTTCTCTAATGATTAGTGATGTTGAGCTTTTTTTCATAAGCTTGTTGGCCACATGTGTGTCTCCTTTTGAAAGTGTCTGTTCATGTCCTTTGCCCACTTCTTAATACAGTTGTTCATTTTTCTCTTGTTAATTTGTTTAAGTTCCTTATAGATGCCAGACACTAGACCTTTGTCAGATGCATAGTTTGCAAAAATTTTCTCCCATTCTGTACGTTGTCTTTTTATTCAATTGATAGGTTCTTTTGCTGTATGGAAGCTCTTTAGTTTAATTAGGTCCCATTTGTCATTTTTGCTTTTGTTGTGATTGCTTTCAGTGTCTTTGTCATGAAATCTTTGACCATTCCTATGTCCAGAATGATAATGCCTGGGTTGTCTTTCAGGATTTTTATAGTTTTGGATTTTACATTTAAGTCTTTAATCCATCTTGGGTTAACTTTTTTATATGGTGTAAGGAAGGGGTCCAGTTTCAGTCATCTGCATATGGCTAGATGG
Organism: Homo sapiens; assembly: GCF_000001405.40. Taxonomy (NCBI): domain Eukaryota; kingdom Metazoa; phylum Chordata; class Mammalia; order Primates; family Hominidae; genus Homo; species Homo sapiens. The sequence goes on from NC_000001.11 coordinate 56,122,423, forward strand.
TTATTGCAGCACCATTTATTGAAAAGGGAGTATTTTTTCCCATTGCTTGTGTTTTTTGACTTTGTCAAAGATCAGATAGTTGTAGGTGTGCAGCCTTTTTCCTGGGCTCTGTATTCTGTTCCATTGGTTTATGTGTTTTTGTACCAATACCGTACTGTTTTGATTACTGTTGCCCTGTAGTATATTTCGAAGTTGGGTAGCATGATGCCTCCAGCTTTCTTTTTGCTCAGGATTGCCTCAGCTGTTGGGCTTTTTTCTTTTTTTTGGTTCCATATAATTTTTAAAAGAGTTTTTTTCTAGTTCTGTGAAGAATGTCATTGGTAGTTTGATAAAAATAGTATTGAATCTGTAAAATACTTTGGGTTGGCCATTTTTAACAATATTGATTCTGGGATGTTATTCCATTTGTTTGTGTAATCTCTGATTTCTCTGAGCAGTGTTTTGTAGCTCTTCTTATAGAGATTTTTCACCTCCCTGTTACCTGTATTCCTAGGTATTTTATTTTTTTGTGGCAATTGTAAATGGAATTCCATTCTTGATTTGGCTCTTGGCTTGACTGTTATTGGTGTATAGGAGTATTAGTGATTTTTGTATGTTGATTTTGTATCCTGAGACTTTGCTGAAGTTTTTTTATCAGTTGAAGGAGATTTTGGGCAGAGACTATGGGGTTTTCTAGATATGGGATCATGTCATCTGCAAACAGGGACGGTTTGGCTTCCTCTTTTCCTATTTCGATGCCCTTTCCTTCTTCCTTTTGCCCAATTGTTCTGGCCAGGACTTCCAATACTATGTTGAATAGAAGTGGTGAGAGAGGACATCCTTGGCTTGTGCCAGTTTTCAAGGGGGGTGCTTTCAGCTTTTCCTCATTCAGTATATGTTGGCTATGATTTTGTCATAGATGGCTTTTATTATTTTGAGATGTGTTCCTTTAATACTGATTTATTGAGTTTTTAACATGAGGGGGTGTTGAATTTTATCAAAAGCCTTTTCTACATCTATTGTAATAATCATGTGATTTTTGTCTTTAGTTCTGTTCATGTGATGAATCACATTTATTGATTTGCATATGTTGAACCAACCTTGCATCCCAGGGATAAAGCCTACTTGATCATGGTGAGTAACCTTTTTAATGTGCTGCTGGATTCAGTTTGCAAGTATTTTACTGAAGATTTTTGCATCAAAGTTCATCAAGGATATTGGCCTAAAGTTTTCTGTTTTTGTTGTGTCTCTGCCAGGTTTTGGTATCAAGATGATGTTGGCCTCATAGAATGATTTAGAGAGGAAGAAGCTACATTTTCTTACCACAGTTGAGTCATAATATAGAGTTCAGACTTCCTGCATATTTAAAGATGACATTTTTTTTTTATATATACTTTAAGTTCTGAGGTACATATGCAGAATGTGCAGGTTTGGTACATAGGTATACACGTGCCATGGTGGTTTGCTGCACCCATCAACCTGTCATCTACATTCAGTATTTCTCTTAATGCTATCCCTCCCCTAGCACCCCACTCCCCAACAGGCCCTGGTGTGTGATGTTCCACTCCCTTTGTCCATGTGTTCTCATTGTTCAACTCCCACTTATGAGTGAGAACATCTGGTGTTTGGCTTTCTGTTCTTGAAAGCTCCTTTAGAATTTATTCGTTAATCCCCACACCCTGAGAGGACAAAAAGAGAAAATAATTTCTGCGGGTCTATAGATTTGTCTATTACAGATTATTGCATATTCATTCAAAGAATATTTTTGATTGCCTTCTATAAATTAGACATTGAGCATAGAACAATGAGAGAAAACAAAAAGATTGTGAATTTACTGTGTAAATTAAAGGTGAGGAGTTTGGTAACTGGTCCAAGGTCAAATAGTTAAACCATAGAGCCAGGATTAAACTCGGCTAAATCTGACTCAAAAGCCCATAGATTTTCTGTCTCACCATACTAGTTAAATATGAACTACAAAATCATAGAATTTTATGCTTAGAGGTGTACTACTCTGTTTTTTAAAGCCAGATGGGCAACTTGTTTTATTTAATAAATCTCTAAACTCCCTTAAAGAAGTTTGCATCCCTATGTCTATTCGCGTCAGCTAGCTGGTGATGAGGCTGACATTGTTTCAAGAAAACCAAACTGAGCCATAAGAAATTAAATACCACAGTGGTGTTTCTAAAGCATGGTCCCTGGACCAGCAGCATCAGCCTTACCTGGGGATTTGTTAGAAATACAAATTCTCAGACCACACCCCAGACCTACTGAATCAGAAACTCTGGGTGTGGGACCCAGCAATCTGTGTTATAATGAGCTCTCCAGATAATGAGTTGTACACTACAGTTTGAGAGCAACTGTTCTACAGGCAATGGGGTCCCACTGTGCTAGCTCTCCTGAACCTCGGCATACCTCAGGATCCTTCTCTACACAGAGACCCAAGAAGCCACTAACAGCATTTCTGAATTGGTGTTTATAAAGAGACCTATTTGCCAGTTATGGGTAGTTCAACCAACAATTTCACTGATGAGAAAATTAGCTATAGAGATCAAGAGTCGCATATACAAACTCACAGAGCAAAACAGTGGCCAAAATAAAGTCAAATCCAGTTTAGTCCTTCCAAACACCACAGTGGTTGGCGGAACCACTGTTTCCTGGTGAGCAGAAACAGAAAAGGGTAGAAGGGAAGGAGTTAATAACTTTCATAGGCCAAGATGTGGGTTCTGGTTGAGGAACCAGTGAACAACCAGCGGTTGAGAGGGAATCTGACACCTAGGTTGGGACTAGAATAGGCCCACATGGAGCAAGGGAGGCAAAAGAGAAATCTGAGCTGAAAATGGAAGGGTATCGCTCTCTCTTACCCTGTTTGGGAGGCCTCCAGCTTCCCCAGATCATGCTCTGTTTTGCCATGTGGATGAATTACCTCTCTTTGTGCCTGCTTCCTGGACCCTCCTCTACCCACAGCTGCTGGATCTGATCTTCATCCATCTTCACCCAGGCCAAGGACCCCAGGGAGCTCTGGGGAGGCTCCAGTCCACAGTAGTAATGAGAAGCAGGACTTCCAGGAGCCCTGCTGCCGATGAGAGTCAGGGAACACGATCACCTAATCGTTGTGAAATTACCAGGTATGACTGAGCAGGTAAAGAATGTTTTGTTTGGCTCAGGATGGGGGGTGAGGGAACCTCATGATTTTGAATCCACCAACTTTTCCAAGGGAGCAGTTATTGCTGTATTGGTTTGTTTTTGTTTTGCCAAATCAATGCCATCCAGAATATTCATTCAGTGTATGTATAACACTGCATTGTCTGAATTGGTAGAAATAAATGGAGTCTTTTCACCTTTGATCCAGATGCTAGTATTTCATCCCAGTTGAAATTTCCTTTATGTAACTAGCCTGATAAGACACTTAATATCTTCAAGCCTCAATTGTTTCAAGTATAAAATTAAGATAATAATTAAGATAATTCCTGCTCTATCCTTATCATAGGATGAGGTCAACTGAGATCGTGGATATGAAAGTGCTTTGCAATCTGCAAAATATCACACAGATGAAAACTGTATGTTATTACTATCACTGAAAATTTTCTTGACCATCTTCTATAGGCCCAATTTCATAACATGTGTTGTGGCTACATCTTAGAGCTGATCATTAAAAGGAAACATTCTACCCCTGACATCCTAAACTCTAATATACAAATCTTTGCCTCTAACTTTCTATCAGTCCAATTTTCCCTTCCTTAGGCCTACCACACATACAAGAGTTTTCCTCTTGTCACCCAGGCTGGAGTGCAATGGCGCTACCTCGGCTCACTGCAACCTCTGCCTCCTGGGTTCAAGCAATTCTCCTGCCTCAGCTCCCCAAGTAGCTGGGATTACAGGTGCCCACCACCACACCCAACTAACTTTTGTATTTTTAGTAGAGATGGAGTTTCACCATGTTGGCCAGGCTGGTCTCAAACTCCTGACCTCCGCCTGCCTTGGCCTCCTGAAGTGCTGGGATTAAGGCGTGAGCCACTGCTCCTAGCCCACACATGATACTTTAATCTCATCAGGACCCTCTAGTTCTTTGTCCCTTATTTTTTCCACTATCAGTTTCCTCCTGCCAATACTTTCTTTTCTATCCATTGGAACACATAGTCCATCACTTTAGTTATTTTATTGCTAATGCCTTTATTATCCCAATCTTTTGTTCTCCTACCATATTGTCAATCAAATTCTCAGTCCTGTGTCAATGTGATCATATACCATCTTCTCTTCTCCCCCTAGTTTCTGAGCATGGTTAGAAGGAATGACAAAATTAAATAAATAAATGTGTGCCACTCCAAAGTTATGGTCTTTACGTTCAGTTGGGCCTTACCAGCAGAGCAAATATTTCAAATCGTACTCTGGTCAAACCACCTTCCTAATTATTGCTCCCTCTTCTCTTAGCAGATAAACTGGTTGACTCTTCAGAGAGAAAATTGAGGCTATCAGGTAAGCACTTGAAAACTCTCCTTCCAGAATCAATATAGTTAAAATGTCCATACTGCCCAAAGCAAACTACAGACTCAATGCTATTCCTATCAAATTACCAATATCATTTTTCACAGCACTAGAAAAAATTATCCTAAAATTTATATAGAACCAAAAAAGAGCCCAAATAGCCCAAGGATTCCTAGGTGAAAAAACAAAGCTGGAGCCATCGCACTAGCCAACTTCAAACTACACTTGAAGGCTACAGTAACACAAACAGTATGGTACTGGTATAAAAATAGACACATAGACCAATGGAGCAGAATAGAGAGCCCAGAAATAAAGCCACACACCTACAATCAACTGATCTTTAACAAAGTCGGCACAAATAAGCAACAGGGAAAGGACTCCTTATTCAATGAATGGTTCTGGAAAAATTGACTAACCATATGCAGAAGAATGAAATTGGACACTTACCTCTTACCATATACAAAAATTAACTCAGGATGAATTAAAGACTTACATGAGTGACTTCAAACTATATAAATCTTAGAAGAAAACCTAGGAAATACTCTTGTGGACATTGGCCTAGGCAAAGAATTTATGACTAACTTCTCAAAGCAAATGCAGCAAAAACAAGAATTGACAAATGGGATCTAATTAAAGTGCCTCTGCACAGCAAAAGAAACTATCAACAGAATAAACAGACAACCTACCGAATGGAAGAAAATATTCACACACTATGCATCTGACGAAGGACTAATATCCAGAATCTATAAAGAAGTTAAACAAATTAACAAGAGAAAAACGACCCCATTAAAAAGTGAGCAAAGAACACTAATAGACACTTCTCAAAAGAAAACCTACAAGTGGTCAAAAATTATGTAAAACAAAAGTGCTCAATATCACTGATCATCAGAGATCATCATGCAAATCATAACCACAATGAGATACCATCCTTCACCAGTCAAAACGGCTGTTATTAAAAAGTCAAAAAATAACAGATGTTGGCAAGGTTGTGGCACAAAGGGAATGTTTATACACTATTAGTGGGAATGCAAATTTGTTCAGCCCCTGTGGAAAGCAGTTTGGAGATTTCTCAAAGAACTAAAAATAGAACTACCATTTGACCCAGTAATCCCATTATTTGGTATATACTCAAAGGAAAATAAATTCATTCAATCAAATAAAATCATTCAATCAAAAAGACATCTGCACTTGTATGTTCATCGCAGCACTATTCACAATAGCAAACACATGGTATCAACCTCAGTGGCCATCAATGGTGGATTGGATAAAGAAAATGTGGTACAAATACACCATGGAATACTATGCAGCCATAAAAGAAAATGAAATCCTGGCTTTTGCACCAACATGGATGCAGCTGGAGGCCATTATCCTAAGTTAATTAACACAGAAACAGAAAACCAAATACCATATGTTTTCACTTATAAATGGAAGCTAAACACCGGGTATTTAAACATACAGACACAAAGATGAGAACAAATAGACACTAGGAGCTACAAAGGGGGGGCAAGAGCTGAAAAACTATCAAGTACTGTGTTTACTATTTCGGTGACAGGATCAATAGAAGCCCAGATTTCAGCATCAGGCAATATCTCCTTGGATTCCGTGCCAAACTAATAGACACCCTTCTCCTATTCAAGGCAAATCTTTCCATCTCTTCTCCCAGTCAATTTTCACCTGATTCCTCTAGAGAGTCCTCCTTCCTGGACATTTAATTTCTAAAAGGTTGAAGGAAAGAAAGGAAGTCCACCCTTATGTCTTTGCTAGCACCTGTGCTCATTTCCCTTTTTCTTCATAATCAAATTCTCCCCAAGGAATAATCTATAATCACTGCCTTGACTCCCCCAGTTCCCACTCAGTCTCTAATCCATGAAAATCCCATACCTTCTACTGTTATACCAAATCTACCTCAGTTAAACTTATGGATTATTTGCTAACTCAGTTGACCACTTTGCCACATCTCACCAATACTTAGGATTTGTCTTCTTCTTATAACTCTCTTTCATTGACTTTTGAGATATGAGTGCTTTCTGAGCTCCTTGACCTATTCTGACATTTCCTTCTTGAACTTTTTAAAAAACACATACTAGATTCTTTATCTCTGCTCCCTGAAATGGTGAGTTTTTCAAGGCTAATTTGTCTGATTTTTTTTTTTTGAGCTATTAATACTTCCTTGGTGATTTCATCTCTTTCAGGGGTTTTATGATGATAATTCTTTCACTGATGGTAATTCTCAATTTTGAAACTCCAAAGTTAAGTGTGCAATCAACTAACTACTGGACATTTCCACCCAATCAATGTGTCCAAAAAAGGAATTCAATACCTTTACCCCAAATCTGGCTTTCCTCCTATGCTCCTTAACTTGGTGAATGGCATCACTAGATACCTAACACACTAGAGCTAATTTAGACCTATCTCTCCCTCTGACATTGAATTAGCTCTCGAGCCCTGTCCACATCTCTCTCTCCATCTTTTCTGCCTCTGCTTAAATTCATACTTTCACTCTTTCTCCTATGGATTTCTGTCATCATTTCCTATTTTATTTTCCTGCCTCTAATATTAGGTCTTTTAACACATTTACCAGGTCAGAGTAATCTTTCTAAAACAAAAATATGTATATTTATTATTTATTAAGAACATACTATATGTCAGGTATCATGCTAAATTCTTTGCATTCATTGTTTCATTGGAGCCACACAACAACTCTATAGGGGAAATATTAATATTCACATTTTTCAGGAGAAAAAACAAGTCTTAGAAAAATCATGTTATTTTTCTAATGCCACAAAACTAATAAATGGGCAAATCAGCAATTAGTCTAAAGCCTCTGTGCTTTATGTCCATCCATTAATATGGTTCTCAATGGCTCAAAGGATAAATCCAAACTCCAGAGTATGCCAACTCCCCAAACACACCTGCCTCTACATGAAACTCTTACCCTTCTCACACCTGTTCCTTCTCCTTTACTCCCAGTGAACTCGGTAGAGACCTCCATGAGAGCACTGGTATAATTTCATCATATTTGTTCATTTATTTTCCACCTGTGTGTGAGCTTCTTGAGATCACCATTTTGTCTCCAGGACCTAACATTGTCTTTGGCATACAGTACACGAGTTAGCAAACTATAGCCTGTAGCCCAAATCTGATTTGCCAGCTGTTTTTGTAAATAAAGTTTTATTGGAACAATACTACTTCTGGTCATTTACATATTATCTATGACTTCTTTTGTAGTATTCTTCCCTAAGAATACTACTAAGTGAAATGACGCATTCAAAGTGTTTAGTACAGGGTCAGGCACAGTGGCTCATGCCTGTAATCCCAGTACTTTGAAAGGCTGAGGCAGGAGGATCACTTGAGCCCAGGAGTTCGAGACCAACATGGGCAACATAAGGAGACTCCGGCTCTATAAAAAAATTTTTTTCATTAGCCAGGCTTGGTGGCACACACCTGTGGTCCTAGCTACTCAGGAGGCTAAGGTGGGAGGCTTGCTTGAACCCAGGAACTTAAGGCTGCAGAGATCCATGATGAGCCACTACTCTCCAGCCTCGGTGACAGAGCAAGACCCTGTCTCAAAAAATAATAATAATAATAAAAAATAAAAATGAAGTGCTTAGCACAGACTCGGATACACAGATAATACTTGTTATGGACTGAATGTTAGCTGCTGCCCCACTGCATAAACTCCTATGTTGAAGCCAGTGTATCTGTATTTGGAAGTAGGGTTGTAAAGGAGCTAATTAAAGTTAAATGAGGTAATAGGGATGAGACCTTGACCTGATAGGATCAGTGTCCTTATAAGCAGAAGTTCTTTCTGTGTGCTCTCTTTCTTTTACTCTCCTGTACCTTTCCTACCTAGAGAGGGCACGCTAATAAGAGGTCATGCGAGGACATAGTGAGAAGTCATCCATCTGCAACCCAAGGGGAAAGCCCTCATCACAAACCAACCCTGCTGGCACCTTGACCTCGGACTTCCAGTCTCCATAACTCTGAAAAAATTAACTTCTGTCATTTAAGCCACCCAGTCTATAACATTTTGTTGTGGAAGCCTAAAAAGACTAATAAAAACTCAACAAACATTATTTTCTAGTATTATTATTATAATTGCTACCATTATCATCATCATAGGGTCATTGTTATTATTATCATTGTTATTTTTGACATAGTACATACAGTCCTTGATATTTTAGGCAGTTAATACCTTTTGTTATTATTAAAATTGATATTAAATTTAAAAATTATCTGGACTACTTAAACCAATAACCATTTTCTAAGTTTCAGGAAGTCATCTGTATATTTGAGACAAATATGACCTTGTTTTAACCACAGCTCCCTGAGATGAACAGAATAAGGGGTATTTTTCCTGTTTTTCAGAAAAAAAAATGAAAATAGAGGATAATGGAAGTAAAGGCATGTGTCTATGGTCAACTAGCTAGGTCTGGCTGGAGCCAGGATTTGAACTGTATCATTTAAATCTTAGACCAAAACAGAGGCCTCGACTGTGTCATCATCATTGAGTCTTAAAACTAACATGGAAGCAGATGTCAGAAGACCTGGATTTCAAGACAAATTCTGCCAATTCCTAATCATGTGACATTGTCCTAGATATTTAACTTATTCATGCTTTAATTTCTCAGACCATTAACTGGAGGTTGCAATAGTCAATGTCCTAGCAGGAAACTGATGGTGCACACAAATGGGATGAGTGAAGACAGGTTAATGAATAGAGTACTGCAAAGGTGTGGACAGGGTTGGGGAAAACCAACACAACATGGTGAATTATGTGGAGAAGGGGGCAGCTAGCAACAGCAGGGAGCCACTTCCACTCCTAGGCCCCAAGGTTTGAGAGTTGTACCTGGAAGGAGCTCTAGCTGGAACCTGAAGCGTAGGACCTCCTAGAAGAAGCTGTGACCTTTGGAAGAGGTGTGCAGCCAACCCAGAGTCTAACATTATGGATTTCAAAGAAATGAATACTCGGACCTCACGTTCTTTTTTTTCTCTAATTATCTGCTTGTGTTCCCCATTAACATTAACCAAACAAATAAGGAGCCGAAGACATTGGAGCCCACTGTGTTCTACAGATCAGTCCCCTGGGGCACAGAGCAGGGTAGAGAAGAGTAAGAGTAGATCCAGAGGGGAAAGGAAAATACCCAACATGAACGATAATTACTCTATCTGCTCCCCCAGAGTTATTGTGAATGTACATTGTCATTTCTCAGGTACTAAGAAAACATAAAGCATTGAGAGTGTTTCTAAAACACTCTCAATATAAACAATCTCAAGATAAGACTGTTCTTACCTTGTTAATTTTGCCATTCTATCAACCTGCAAGATAGTAATTTCCATCCTCTATTTTGCCAGTGAAGAAATACATAATTAATCTCAGAAAGGTTACTTTTCACCCAACTGATTGCTGTTCAAGTGTTAATCTCTACAGCTCTAAAATCTTTCCTCATTTTCCTATTTCAGGCCCATTTTCCTTTTTCTCTTTACATATGAACCCATCAGTTGTAGCTCTAATGAAACCTTTATTTCCAGAATCTTTGGACTTTCTGTATATCCCTTTATACCTGGCAGCACAATAGTATGTGCAGACAAGTTTTATCAGGCATTTTTGATGAGCTTTCATTCTTAAATTTACCCCTGCAGACCTCCCAAAGACAAGTGCTGAATTTGTTTTTGAAGCCCTCCCTATGGCTGGAGCTAGCCGGTCTATTTTGATACAGGGTGTGGAGGCTTCCCTGGCTGTATCACACCCACCTAGATAAGGGAGACAGGATGCCACACGACCTTCTGATATTTGCCAAAGAACAGACCAGTAGGGGAATCAAGAGAGCATGGGTGTGCCTAGTTAATCAGGCAACGCAGACTAAACAAGCCTCCACATTTCCTTCCTCTGGGTTTTAATGAAAGTTCTTTCTAACCAAGAATGAAAACAGTCATTTGTTCATTCAACATTCGCTGAGCACCTGACAGGCCTTGTGCTGGGCACAAGAGATGAAGAGACAAATGAAATACAATTCTTCTCCTCAAGGAGTTCAAAGTCAGGCAGGCAAGACAAACACATAAATAGACAATAAAAATACAAGATGGTGAGTATTCTAACAACTTTGAACAGAGGTCTAAGAAAAAGCAAGGTCCTTTGTCTGGTACTTGGAGAAGCCTCATCAAAGAGCTAACACTGGAGCTGGGTTTTAAAGGAAAAGTAGGGAATTATCAAAAACAGATAAGAATTATAGTAATAATTCTAGAAACTTATTGACTGCCTTTCATGAACTAAAACATAGGCCTTTATCATTAACTCTCACGTCAATCATATTCTAGAAACAATTAAGCTGGAGCTCAGAAAAGAAACAGCATGTCCAGATTCACAAAGGTAGGAAATGGCAGAGCTAAGTCTCATGCCAGGTTTTTCTGGCTCTAAAAACTCTTTTATTTCAATACTGCTATTCCAAATGGAGATAAGAGAGGCAGAATGATACCTTCAGGGAAAAGTGAGGTTTTGAGACTAGCTGAAACATAAAGCCCTGGGGGAAAGGGCTGGGAACAGAGGCTGGAAGATGGCAGTAAGCTCAGATATTAAAAGGCCTCACATGTGTCACCCCATTTAGATTGTTTTGTAATTATTGGGAAGCCATAATCATATTTCTAATTTATAAATGTCATTCTAACAGAAGTGAAGAGAAAAATTGGAGGCATATGGAAGACAAGGAGACCAATCAAAAAGCTGTTGTCTTCTTCCAGGCCAGAGACATTTGAGACCTGAATGAAGAATGTATTTAGTGAGCATACAGATTGCAAAATCAATATGAGTTGGAGCAATTCTGGAATGGGTCCCCCCATAAAACATGACTGTGCATTCCTAGAAAAGCTCTTTGAGATCATCTGCATTTTGTAGATGGAAAGTTGAGGCCCAGAGAGGAGACAAGGAAGTGCACAGAGAGTGTCAGCTTCAGAGCTCACTCCATCTCCTGACCCAGATGGGATCTGATGCCCTTACCTGTCTTTTTGGCAGCCTCTCATGGGAGCTATAACACAGGCCCACACCACCACATCACTGGACATTCCCGCCTGTGAGATGCAGCCGTTTCTCTTTCCCAGCAAGTCATTCTGGAATATCTCGCAGTACATGGACAAGATCCAGCCATCTAGGAAGGCTGATGGGAGGAAGCCCTAACAATGAACAAATGTGCAGGGAAAACCCCCAGTGATTCCCCAAATGAGCTGAAGCAAAGCAAACCTTCCGGACCTCATGCTTCACTGAGCAGGCAGATTGTCTGAGCAGGACCAGGTGATGAGGAAAAGCAGGATGGTATAACTTGCAATTCCTGAGACAAGCTTTGAAGCAGAAGCCCAGGTGCAGTCATTACATTACTAGGAATATCACTTACCTTCCTCTGTGTGCCAGCAGCCCATGAGGGGAAAGAAGGAGCACTGTGCAGAAGTGCCCTCTAACTAGAGACCTATAGCTTGTTTTTGGGTTTTTTTGTTTGTTTGTTTTTGTTTTGTTTTATGAGATGGAGTCTCGCTCTGTCACCCAGGCTGGAGTGCAATGATGCAATCACGTCTCACTGCAACCTCCACCTCCCGGGTTCAAGTGATTCTCCTCCCTCAGCCTCCTGAGTAGCTGGGATTACAGGTGCCCACCACCATGCCTGGCTAAGTTTTGTATTTTTAGTAGAGATGGGGTTTCGCCATGTTGGCCAGGCTGGTCTCGAACTCCTGACCTCAGGGGATCCACCTGCCTCGGCCTCCCAAAGTGCTGGGATTACAGGCATGAGCCACTGCACCCTGCCACATGTGGCTTGTTAAAGATCTTACTTTGTGTTAACAATGACCACACCAATTCCAGCATCCTGCACAGACTCATATTGACCTCCTGTGGCCACCTGTCCAGCATCCCAGGAGGCTCTGCTGGCTAGCTTGGATTTCCTCCTAGCTAACCCTTTAGCTCTCCGATCCTCAGCAGACCGAGGCCTGATATCATCCTTACCTCCCAGTTAGCTCCTCTCCTCTGAAGGGGGAAGCCAGGAGCAGGGAGAGCACAGTCTACGGGCCAATGCCGGGGCACCCCTTCCCAATTAGCCAGAGCCTCATCCCTGAAAACATCTTCAGCCTGCTGGCGAGTGCAGCCTGGTGTGATGCTATACCCATATTCCCTAGCTTGTATGGTTACCTGACTGCCAAGAGCCAGCATCCTATTGGTCTAGTGAGTCTACACCAGGTGGCCAAGTGAGTGGCAAAGAACAGAGAAAAAATATGAAGCTACAGTAAAAATGGTCCAGACAACTTTGAAGACAGACAGGAAACAGGGCATCCAGAGGACTTTCAGATGCAGGGTATAAGCACATGCAGCAGCATTATATGTATCGTCAGTGCCAGCTAATTCAGGCGAGGCAGTTTCTTCTCAAGAGGCTAAGAAAGGAAGACAATTACCTTTCTGGTGTTCTCCTCACAGCTTACCACCAAGAGCCTTCTGGGGATCTGGCATGTTGAAAATGCTCTAGCCGGTTCTACCTCCCTACCTTTGGTCATTTTCTTTTCCTGCCTGGCATCCTCTCTGACCTTTCCCTTAACTCTTATCCATAGTTAATGTTCCAGCTCATTTTACACCTTCTTTCCCACAAAGCTTTCTGCCTTAGTTTGAGTTACTCAGAAAACAAAAGCCTGAGTCAGAGACCCAGATGCTGGTCATTTACTTGAGAACAATCCCAAGAAGCAGAAGTGAGAGTGTGTGATGAGTGAAATGGGAAAGGAAAAACCAATATAAGGTATATTGTCAAGGTCGCCATTGCCAGGACCTCCTGAGAAATGTAAGGCATGCCTTCCACAATTATCCACCAGTTGTATAGGAAACTGGAGCATTTATCCATAGGCTTCTTCACTCCTTGTTCCCCTTCCCTTGTTCCTGAATGAGGGTTGCCCCCACAGTACTGTCTTAGTTTATTTAGGTTGTCCTAGAAGCAGAGCCTGAGACAAGGATTCGAGTGAAAGTCATTTAAGAGGTGATGCAAGGAAGCACCTGTAGGAGAGTGGGAACTTGATAGTGTGAAGGAAGGAAGCCAATCAAGGGTGTGAGAGCAGGCAAGTTACCACTATAGGCAGCTGGAGCTGAATCCTGCTGGGGAGCTGCCAGTGTAGAAACATGCCTCAGATTTATCCCTGCAGAGAGATTGGCTGGAGGGACTTTATCCACCACTTTCATAAGTCATCACTTGAGGTTTATGCCATGGGTTGGGGGTGGGAGTTTAATTTCCTGGCACTTCCTTCATTCCCAGCATATAGACAGAGTGGGGTCTTGCTGTCAGAGAGAGCCTGCAGGCAAAGATTTACAGCTACTCACCCATTGGAAGTAAAGTGTATAGACTTTACTCTCTACAAACTAGAAAACATAGGTGTAACATCTCCCCCAGGTTGTGCCCTCCAGCAGGCTGAAGATGCTCCCAGGGTCCTGAAGGAAGAAGCTGAAAGACAGGGACTCTGGCAGAGGGAAGTGATTCTGAACTGCCTACAACTGTAGTTGAAGTTAGAGGTGGGTGAAGGGCAAGGGCAAATGGAGCACCAAGGGTGTGTCTAACACCATCACTGACTATGCCAAGCCACACTGATTGTTTCTGTCCTTCCTCTGAGCACCCTTTTTTTAGTATCCTTAGACATGCATAGGTTGCCCTATATATACATGTAAGTTGAGCACTTGAAAGTAGAATGCAAACTTTTGGGATTAAGGCTCTGTGACTTAGCCTTTTTAGCACTTAGCAGAAAGTTTTGTATCCAACTATAACTGTCTACTTTTGCAAGAAAATTGAAGCATTCATCATGATCTCCCTCCCTCCCCTATCTATAAAGTTATCTTCATATTTATGTTATATATATGAAGTTACTTCATATATATGATGTAAGATATATATATATATATATATACACATATATATATATATATATATATATATATGAAGTTATCTTCATGTCTTACATCTGTTACTCCTATCTTGGAAATAACAAGAAAGAGGTTTCTCCTTTCGCTGATTAAGGTAAACCCATCTATCTGCTCATGTTTTCTATGCCATTGATTTCACTCCTCTTCTGGGAATCCTCACTCCTTTAGTTATCTCTTCTTGCAAATTGTCTGTGTAGCAGGTATGTGGGCCAAGTGGTGGTCCTGAAATCTGGACCATCCTACTCCATTTCTTCTTTGCTTGAAGCCTCAGAGTAGCTGAAGAAACAAACCCTTGGGATAAACTGCAGGATCTGTAGTGAGCAATCAGCTGTGGCTCTACCAGGGCAACCAAAAAACCTGCATTCCATCTAGCTTGGCAAGGGACTCCATTCTGTATGATCAATTGTGTAATATTAGACTGGGAAAGGGGGCACCTGCTTTCTCCTTCCCTTCAGTCCTGACAGGGTGAGGAAAAACAGAGCTCGTGGGATAGGAATGAAGCGTGAAAATGCCCTAGTCATGCCCAACACACGTTCTGTCCTCAGCTTCCCTCTCTAATTCCAAGGCCTGCCATTCCCTAATACCCAGCTTAGCTTTCAGAAAATAAACTGCTCCTTGTCAAAATCATTTGAATTCCTTTACAATATAGAACGTTCCTGTTGACCTCCATGGAATCTAGAAAATTAAATGCCTCAAAGATGCGGAACATGGATTGGAGAACTACAATAATATTTTTGCCATGTTTTCTGCCTCCTGAAATCCTTTTGGGAACATAGTTGGAATAAATAACCCTACATAACTTAAAAACAATTCATTCATGGCACTTCTCTTGACCCATTCTATCTTTTCCCCCTGTCTGATTCCTACTTCCCTTCTTGCCACAGGCCTTCATGTTAATGAGTTTGAAATATGTCCTTAAATATTTATGCTTACTTGTAAAATATGTAGTGTTGGCTTGGGTGTGTATATGTCTTTAACTTATATAAATCATATGGTATTATAAATTTCATTCTGTGTCTTTTGTGACTCAATGCTAGAGATTTGGGAGGTGAAATGAGGTAGTGTTTGTTTAATCTTTTTTTCATTTGAAACACATCACACATATGAAAGAGTGCATGAACTTTAAAACCCTCGTGTATGGTCATCCCTGATATCATCTCCCCCTCCACACTAGAGGAACTTTTTAAGCTAAACTTAATGTTAATCACTTTCTTTTTTGTTGTTTTGTCCATTTATTTTTCCTGGTCTCGGACTTTATGTAGTGAATCATACAGAATGTATTCCTCAATGACTTGCTTTTTTGGCTGAACTTTTTTTTAGATTTATCTATGTTGCTAGTATAGCTGTGGTTTATTCATTTTCATTGGTGTACAATGTGCTGCTATACCATACTTTATTTATCTGTCTACCACAGGTAGACATTTGGATTTGTTGCTGTTGTTGTTTTTGCTATTCTGAATAACGCTGTTTTAAACATATTGACCTTGTTTTTGTGTGCAGCTGGACAGAAATTTATCAGTGGAACATATCTAGAATTGGCTGTGCTGAGTCATAAGGAGTGTCACTCTTCTGTTCTAAGCAAGGCAAAATTACGTTCTAACGTTAGTATACTCACTCACACTCTCTCCCATGGAGTTTGATAATTTTCTTCTTCATATTCTTGGAAATAGTGACATTGTCAAACTTTTTATTGTCAACCTAGTGGTCATAAAAAGGTATTCAATGTGCATCTCCTCAATTGCCAATCAGCTTGAATATCTTCATAACTTTATGAAACACATATGTTTTCTCTTATGTAAAAGTCCTGTTTGTATTTTTTGCTTATTTGCCCTTTAAGTTTTTGATCTTTTTCTTAAGAATTTTTAGGAGAATGTGTGTGTGTGTGTGTGTGTGTGTGTGTGTGTGTGTATGTGTATTATGGATACTAATCCTTTGTCATGTATATATTACAAATATCTTCCAGCTTTGGATTTTAATTTTAGCCCTGTTTATGATATCTTTAGTAAATAGAAATCTCTAATTTTAATGGGATAGAATTGATCAATTGTGTGTGTGCTATGTTATGCATAAAAAATTATTAGCCCAGTATGGTGGTGCGTGCCTGTAATCCCAGCTACTCAGGAGGCTGAGGCAGGATAATCGCTTGAACCTGGGAGGTGGAGGTTGGAGTGAGCCGAGATCATGCCACTGCACTCCAGCATGGGTGACAGAGTGAGACTCCGTCTCAAAAAAAAAAAAAAAAAACTTTTTTTTCTTGTTGTCCTTAAGATTTTTCTATGTAAATCAAATGCTAAAATGGTACACCATCAAGGCCTTATTCATGTTATTTGCCTTCTCTGAAACTTGATTTGTGAAATAATTTTGTCCCGAGGGTTTCATGGGGGTTACATGTAATAAGAGTGTACGAAAGAGCCTAGCAAAGTACATCACACATAATTGGCACTCAGTATATGTTAGTTCATCCACTGGAACATAGTTCTAGTTCTATATTTTGAGGCTTAGGTATTTGCAAGTAACTTAGTTTTTAACAGGAAATATTTAGTCCGTGTTATTTATATGCTGGACATTTTGTAAATGTTTTATTCTTCACAAACCATGTAAGGTAAATAATATTATCATTACCATTGTACAGAAGAGGTAATTTAGACTCAGAAAGAATAAGTTACTTACCTTGGGTAACACACACTAAAGGGCAGTGCCATTATTATATTTGCTATATGCCTTTCTACCTAGACTGTGAAATACCTTATGGGAGGATCTGCATTCAAAGAATGGCAAGAATCCTATAGCGCTGGAAAATAAACTATATCTGTAGGTGTGTGGTGTGAATTTGAGGATGTGGTAAACTGGAAAAGATAAAAGTGGTCTACTTATTGCTTTTCACTTTGCAGAGCATATAATATGATTTCCCATGGTACATATCCTCCATTCATTCCCTCAGACCTGACTCAGAGTCTCTTAAAACCACCCATTCCCCTAAGTGTCTACCTTGAGCCCACTGCCTTCCTGATTTGCATCCTAAAGACAGTTGCCCATAATTTAACTAACCACATTGTTCCTCTCCAAGGAATTCCACATCCAGTGGAACATTGCTCCAGTCGTAAGGTAACGGGACGCCAGAGACTATCTTCCTGTCAGAATCTTGAGTCACCCAGGGCACACGTGTCAACAGGGTTTAAAGCTTTGTTTGTTTGCCTCCCCAGACAGACGTTGAAACAGAATCTCCCACCACCAAACTGCCTAGACAACCAAGCAACTCAGTAACCACTTACTAAAGCTAACAGTCTTTTGGCATTCAGTTTCCCACCAGATGAATTATAGCATAGTGTACAGTGAATTCATTCAGATCACTGAATGTTAAATGTGGAGGCCCTTAGTAATTACCTAGACACCATTGTAGCAGGAAGGGAACAAAATGCAAAGAATGAATGCAAGCAAATCCCTTTACCTTAAATGTACATCATGGGTTGAAGGATCTAGTATTACTGAGTTTCCCTCATCTACAAAATGAAGATTTAAAATATCTATCCTTCCTACATCATAGGGTTGTTGTGAGAATCAAATTCAATAATAAATAATATCCATGCCTCTGTGATGACCTGCTTTAAACCAAGTATAAAGTTGTATATGTAAGAGAAGGAGAGCAAATGCAAATGTGTTGAATTAGTCAAGAAATCTAAAAAATTCAATTTTAAGTAAATTGTCCCATAAAATGCATAGCTAAATATTACAGATTTGGACATTGCTATTGTTTGAATATGATTTGTCCCCACCAAAACTCATGTTGAAGCTTGGTCTCCAATGTGGCAGTGCTGAGAAAGAATATCTTTAGGAGGTGATTAGTTCATTAAGAGGGATTAGTGCCTTTCTTGTGGGAGTGAGTTTTCATCTCTCACAGGTTATCATCAGAAGCGGACCAGATGCCTGGCCCTGGATCTGGGACCTCCCAGCCTCCAGAATTATGAGCGGCATAAGCTTCTTTCCTTTATAAATTACCAAATCTCAGGTATCCTGTTAAACCAACAGACAATTGACTAAGACAGGTATGTGTTTTTTGTATTGGATAGACAATATGGAGCAAGTACACAGGGCATGCGGCTGATTCCACAAAAAAAAAGGGCCAGTAATTCTGTTTTAAGTTGTGTCTACATAGAACATAAGGGCCATTATTCTACAATATTCCAAGATGTCATCAACAATAATTTCTTGAAATAAAGCTTTTGATATTATTGAGAAACAACAAGTTCAAGACTATACTTTATATAAATTGTTACAATAAAGTTTGTTTTGTCTTTTGCTGCTTAACTTACAACCCCATAACAATAGCAACTAATTGTGTAGGTTGGCTTGAAGGTTCCTCTGGCAAATGTGCCAAGGCTTGCTTGCATAGCCACACTCAGCTAAAGATCTGCCTGGGCTGGAAGTTGGCGTCATTCACAAGTCTGGGAGAGGCTATTGGCTATCAGTTGGGGTGCCTGAGTTCTTCTCCATGTGGCCTCTCACCTTCTAGGTGACTGGACTGACTTTCCTAGATGCCTTCTCAGGGCAGCCATCCAAGAGGACAAAGGAAGAAGCAGCAAGGCCTTGCAAGGCTTAGTTTCAGAAGTCACATAAATTTACTTCTGCCAATTCTATTTAGAAAAGTGATTCACTAGGATGTCCAGATTCAATAATTTTTCTTTTTTTTTTTGAGACAGAGTCTAGCCCTGTTGCCCAGGCTGGAGTGCAATGGCACAGTCTCGGCTCACTGCAACCTCTGCCTCCTGGGTTCAAGTGATTCTCCCACCTCAGCCTCCTGAATAGCAGGGATTACAGGCGCCTGCCACCACACCTGCCTAATTTTTGTATTTTTAGTAGAGACGGGGTTTCACCATGTTGGCCAGGCTGCTCTTGAACTCCTGACCTCAAGTGATCCATCTGCCTAGGCCTCCCAAAGTGCTAGGATTACAGGTGTGAGCCACCACACCCAGCCTCAATAACATGCTTTTTTAAAACAAAGGTCCATCTCTGGATGGGAGAGCCAGAAATGTTACATTGAAAAGGGAGCATGCATGCATACTGGGAGGAGAGGAATTTGTGGCCATTAAACAATCTATAGATTCTGCCCTCTTGCCACAAATTATTCATATTCCTCCCACATGTAAAATACTCTCACATCCAAACTAAGACCTCCAAAAGTCTAATCCCAATTATTTCAGTTACCTATTGCTTCATAACAAATAATTCCAAAATGTAGCTGCCCTTGTTAAAATTGAACAATAACCATGTATTATCTTTCACTGTTCTGTTAGTCAAAAATTCAGGAGGTGAGTGCTTCTCTCTTAGGGTGTCCCACAAAGTTTCAGTCAAAATGTCAGCCACGAAGTTTCAGTCAAAATGTCCCATGTGAAGGCTTGAATAGGACTGGAGGACCCACTATCCAGAAGGCTCACTCACGTGGTTGTGGACAAGACACTTCCATTCCTCTCTAAGTCGACCTCCCTGTAAGGTTGGAAGTTGGCTTTCCCAGAGTGAGTGATATGACAGAGAGCAAAGAAAAATCTAAAGTGTCATTTGTGGCCTTGCTTTGAAAGACAGACATAGTTTTTTCTCTAGTAGTTCGTTAACTACCAAGGCCAGCCCTATTCAGTATGGGAGGACACTATAAAACTCCATAGGAGGCCATTTTGGAGGTTTGTTATCTCATAGATTATGGCATCAAGTTCAAAGTCCAGAATTTTATGATGTTCTTCAGGTCTGTATGTAAATGAAGTTTCTTAAGTGTGGGTTTCAGGCACAGCAAATCTTGAACAGTAGCAACTCCAGAGCCCTGTAAATTAAAAAGACAAGGTATCTTTCCCAGGCACACCCAACATATAACACTGAGTTAGGGGAAAATGATCTACAAAAGACAATCCCATTCCTAATGGGATAATGGGAGACACATAGAAGTCACTAACTCTTAGCAGTCTTGAAATTTAGATGTCGCATTTGTCAGGCTTCCTGCATTGAGAGCAGAAAATGTTCCTCGATTGGAAACAGGTTCTTTACCCCTGGAGTGGGCTCATTCTTCTCCTCGAATCTTCACCTTGCTCTCTGAGCTCTTTGTCTAGCTTTCTAAAAGGCTCTTCTTTTTCTAAAGGAAATGAATCTTGCTTGTATCTGAGTAGCTTTCTCAAGAAGCCTGTGTGCTCTGCTTCTCACAAGCCTCTTGTCATGTGAACTGTCTTCATCCCTTTCAGTTCAAGGTACCAAAATTCAGGTTACTAATTCTATTGCAACATAATTCTTTTAAAATCTTTGTGGTTCTCCCCTTTCATCTTAACAGCACTTACTCCAAGTGCCCAAAAGCCAAATCCACAATTCTTTTTTTGAGACAGACCTCTATCCACTTTAGAAAAGTTAGGCTTCTTTGGGACAATGCCACTGAGATGATTAGAAGTTTTTTTTTCTAGCTAAAAGGATTAGGCATCTTAAATCTTATGAGATCTTAACAAAAGATATTATAGCTACACCTTTGGTTTGATCTGATCTTTGCCCTGAAGCCATTTTTTACTTTGATAATCTTTTGCCAGCTGGAGAGACATAAAGTATAAAACAGTTTTATTTTCCAACCCAGCAAGTACTTGTTCTCTTACATTTTCTCTTAATTCTGCTTGCAAATGCTACAGTTCTTTAATTAGCTAATCTCTCTTTTCATACTGTATTATATGGAGTTAAAGTTAAAAATTTAGTATTTTTATCCTTCTGCTTGAATCTTTCTTTAGACCGATCCAACAAGTTCAATCGGTACTTTTTTTTATCTTCCAAATTACTATAATTCTGCCAGTCTATACCAAGGTTGTCCCCCACCTCTTTTTTGTCTTCAATCACAGTTTCCTTTCTGCTCCTCTAACTTCTCTTCTCTCTTCTCTTTCCAGCCCCTATCCACCATCTGGTTCCAAAGCCAATGTCATAGCTGAGATTTTTGTTATGGCAGCATTATACTTCTAGTTACCAATTCACTTTAGTTTTCTATTTCTGTATAACAAATCAACCGAGAGTTAGTGGCTTAAAATAGCAGTAATTCATGATTTCTCATAATTTTATGTTTTGGCTAGATGATTCTTCTGGTAGTTTTGGAGGGGTTCATTCATACGGGTGCATTCAGCAGGATTGCTGGCTGAGCTAGAAGGTCTAGGGTGACCTCACTTACATGTACAGCATTTGGTGCTGGCTGTCAGCTAAGGATAGGCCAGTATTTATCAAATGGGGGAAATTATGCCTCCATGGGACATTTGGCTATTTATAGAAACATTTTTTTATGGCCACAACTGGGTCAGGTTACTTGTATCTAGTGGGCAAAGGCCAGAGATATTAACATACATGCTACAATGCCCAGGACAGTCCCCCACAAAAATAAGTTATCTGGCCCAAAACGTCAATAGAGCTAAGGTTGAGAAACCTTGTGATAAATGTTTTTATATGCATTATCTTCTTTAATCTTCACAATTACCCTATTAGACAAGTTAGATTCTTAAGTAACTTAAACAAGATCACACAATTAGTAAAGGGCAGAGTTGGGACTTATATATTCTGAGCTCTTAACCAGTATATACTATATGGTGTGCATTCCACCCAGATTGTTAATCTAAGATTGATTTGCTAAATACCAAAACCACACCCAGGCAATAGTCTAATTCTCCACCATTTATTTCTTCTTTGATCTTTTCCTTTCTAGCTTAATGGCTTTCCTAGAAACAGAGCCTGAGGTAAGTATTGAATGCTAATGCTTTATTTAGGAGGTATGTTTTTATGGCTGCAAAATTGAGCGAAAAGGGAAGCGAGGCAGTTTGAAGCAGAACTATAAACGTAAGGTGTTGCATTTCAGCAGGGGCATCAGTCTACCTATATGAGATATTTCCACATGGGCTGTTCCGGGAGGAACATGCTCCTTGGTTCAGTCTATTGCATGGAGGAATGGAAATGTGTCTGCCAGCTCCTTCACATCTCCTAAATTCCATTGCTCAAACTTTACCTTCCAGAGATTTAACTCCCCCACAATCCTAAGTTGCATCACCTGGCTCCTATAGCAGCTGCTCAGGAAGCCAGGTCTCGTGCCCGCAGCTTGGTCTTTGTATGAGTCCAAAAGTGTTGTGAGCCACTATTGATTTCAGGAGTGATGTTGGTTGGCCTTAGGAAGTTTAACACTGTGAGTTATCACAGAATCAGACTGCTGCAGCAGCTGGGGTAGAATAAGCAATCTGGGATTCAAAAGGCAGGTAAGGCCAAGAGACTCTGAGGTGGGACATAAGATGTGTCTGATCCATTCTTCAACATGACTCACTACTCCCATGCACCGTCATCGAAAGGAAACCTTTCTGGCTTGGAAGAGCTGGTGTATCAGTTGAGATTCATTAAGCTTAAAGAAGCAGAAAACCTAAATGAAACTGGCTAAGATAATGAGGAAAGAAGGGAAGTTATTGGCTTACATGCCTACGAGTCCAGAAGGTCAGCAGGTTTCAGATTTGACGGCTCCACTGTCCTGAAGTTCTTTTGACTCAGTCTTTCTCCACAGGCCAACTTTCTATTCAGGCTATCACTAAAATGGCTGCAGCAACTCTAGGCCATTAGTGCACACATGACCACATTCCAATATCCAGAGGAAGACAGAAACTATCTCTTCATTTGCTTCTTTCTTACAAATGAAGAAACGTTTCCTAAAGGGTGCCTCAGCCAACATCCCCTTGCAGCTCTCATTGCCCAAGCTGGGTGATACATTCATTCCTTAACAATCCTCATTACAGGGATTCTAAACACTTTGATTGGCTGGGGCCTGGGCTCCTGAACCAATCACTGTGAAGAAAGATGGATCACCATGACTGCTTAACCCAATGGGGACCCACCTCCTGCACTGGGGTAATCCTCAAACTGCATGACAACCACAAAATGCAAGGGGGTGGGGAGGTGGACTTGGTGTTAAAGAGAAAACCACACTGTCGACAAGAGCCAGACTTCAAAAGCATCTAAAGAAACAAAGACAAAGCTGCCATCATCATTTGTTAGTAGACAGTTGTCATGGAGTGGGGATTGACTCACTTTAAGCAAAGTAGGTTTCAGCCAGTCTGTGTAGTTCTCCATGACTCTTACTGTTTCTTTCACTGGGACTCTCTATTCCCCATCCCTGCCTTTGATAGTGCATCTCATCCCTAAGCTTATTCCAAAAGCCTTCCTTGTTGTTTCACAGCCAGAAAACACAGGCTGAGTGATATATAAAAGCTTTGGAATTAGTAGCAATTTTAGAAATCTAGATCAGGGTTTTTCAAACTCCATGGCTCTGGAGAGCTCTCTCAGTTGTGAAACTTGTAGGGCTGAAAAGAAGAGCTAAGTAGTCGAGGCTCTAGGCCTCCTAAACCCCCCAACCAAAGCAGCTGTAAATTCATTTATTTTGCGTAGCTATATAGCTTTATTCAAGATTAATTTTTATTCAGGGGATTAAAAATCAAATCCCCTTATTATAAAAATGAGAAAACTGAAGCTCAAAGAGAGGGGTGGAAGCGTGTGTTGAAGGTCATGGTGCTTATCTGTACCTCCTCCTCAGGACACCTATGCTAACATTTGAAAAGTTTCACCTGTGCCTCATGAGCCCTCTCTTCTCCAGAATCAGTGGCCCCAGCTTCTTCAAATCTCACTCCAGTGAAGAGATTCTAAGCCATCTCACCAATTCATTGTTCAACTCCTTGTTAAAATCACTTCACTTCAAGTGTAGTGCCAAGAAATAATCATGATGAGTCAAATGCATCTGAGCAGCAGAGAGAAGAGCAGGACTGCCCTATGTCCCATCAGAATGTTGCACTCTTAATAATATAGCCAGGGATCACATTAGCTAGTTGGCAGGCACAGAACACCATTGCCTCATACTGTCCGTTAAAACTCTTAAGATGTTTTTACAAGCTGCTGCAAAGACTGTTCTCCTCATCCTGTTCCTATCCTCTTGTTTACTTAGACTCAATTGCAGGGTTTAACATGTATTTCATTTATTCTAAAATTCCACAATTCTAAGTGCCCACCGTGTGCATTTCTGGGCATTCCATGAGCACATGGAGAATTCTAGGACAGGAGGAGCAAATTCAGCTACCTTGAGGAGCCAGGCAGGTAGGGACAGAAGTCATATAAATAAATGAAGATGGCCAGGTATAGTTCAAATTTGTGAGCTATGAAGTCTGGTTAAAGGAGAACTAGGCCTCATCTAAAGAAATAGCTTTATTCAGCCTCAGCTAGCCATTGCCATGCAAGAATCAAGTCCAGAGTTGCTAGATCTTATGATTTAAAAAAAAAAAAATCTGGAAATGTGGATGTTGATTGGAAATATCCAGTCTTTTAAATGTTGGCCACTAACTCTCAAAGTTCTAATACACTCTATTGGCCAAACAAAACACATCTGCAGGCTGAGTTCAGGCCATGAACTTCAAATTTACAAACTTTGCCCTGTGAGGATGAGGGAGTTGGGCAGCACTAGTTAATGAGACAAAAGTATAAAAATGACTCGTGTTATCTTGGAATTAATAGCACAACATTTATTTTTAATATTACCCTATTAATCATACGCTTGAACTTTTTAAAGCTGGAAAGAATCTCTGGGATTATATTGTTTAATCCTCTTGTTTTATAAAAAAGGAATCTATGATTCACAGAGGAGAAATGAGTTGGATTTTAATTAAATGAATCCAAATGAATTCATGAAATGAATAAAAAAATTCAAGTTCTTAGAAATTGAGGAGATAATTGGTACATTAGCTCCTCAAACCTTAGTCCATGGTTTCTCAATCTAAGCATTATTGACATTTTGGACTGGATAATTCTTTGTTGTGTGTGTGGGTGGGGTGGAGGGGGAAGAGTTGTTTTGTGCATTGTGGGATGTTTAGTACCATCCGTGGGCTCTACCTACTAGAAGTCAATAGCACACTCCTGCAAGTTATCAGTGGCAAATGAAGGCAAGAATGTTTTTAGATATTACAAAGTGTCCCTGAGGGACAAAATTGCCACTGCCCTTGAAAATCACTATACCCTCTTCCAATCCCTTTGTCTTATGGTTGAGAGGACTCAGAAAACTCGAGAGCTTTCCTCAAAGTCACATGGGGAATTATTGGCATTGCTGGTACCAACACTTGAATCTCATCTTAACTCCTTCTAGAGTGCCCTATTAACAAAAGCCTGCAAATATGAGCCACAATTTGATCAGTAAGTTTTGTAAAACTGCATATTTTAAATTAAGAGGCAGCATGGCATAATGGTGAAAAGCATGGATTCCATGACTGACAAATCTGCATTTGGTTCTCAGCTCTTCTACTTACTTGCTTTGTGACATTGACCAAATTAACCTCTCTGAATGTTTGTTTACCACCTCACCTGAAAAATGAGTGGTAAAATGTATATAGTGCTTGTCACAAGATAGGGATTCATCAAATGGAAGTTGTTGTTATTATTATTATTATTATTACTATTATTTAACTGGACCTGGAGTCAGTAAACTGTAGCCCACAAACTGAATTTGGCCTGCCTGTTTTTGAATAGCCTGTGAGCTAAGAAGTTTTACATTTTTAAACGGTTAAAAAATTTTAAAATAACAATGCCATTTTATGGTACATGAAAGTCATGTGAAATTCAAAGATCAGGGCTCATAACTAAAGTTTTATTGGAACACAGCCACGTATTCATATGCACGTAGTCCATGGTTGCTTTCATGTAAAAGCAGCAGAGTCAAGTTGTTGCAACAGAGATCAGCTGATGGGCAAAGACTAAAATATTTATTGCCTGGCCCTTTACAGAAAGATTACCAGTCTCTTAACTAAACCTGTAATCTCCAAGTAGAAAAGCAGGCAACCACAATTTGTGCAGAGCCCTCTGGTGTGCAGGAGGTAACATAGCAAAATAATTCATTTTTCCTTCTGATGCCCCTTGCAGTTCTAGCATCTATAACCATTGTATTTTACTCTGCTCACTTGAGACATTTCTTAGCATCTGTGTATATCCAGTATTTTCAGAAAACATAGGTTCCCAAGTTATCCGGGAAACATGAAAAAACTTTTTATAGATGTCCTCTCCTGAATAAATCTCATTGTAGAATTGCTACTTAAGGCAATTTTTTTTTCACAATCTGGAATATTTATCAAAAAGAAAGGAAATGGCTTGCTCAGTGTTAAGCCAAGCACATATTTTAAGTGTTGTATGATTTGGACAGGACAATAAAAAGGGATATCCGGTAAAAAGGAAGAATAGATAAGAACTATCTGCCAAAACTAAACTTTAAGAGATGTCGTCATGTTACCTCTTTTTTTAATACCTTGAACATCTTGGTTACAATTTAATCTTACTATAGCCTGAGATTTTAAATGCCAATACATGTTTATAGCCCTAGCCCTGACACTAAGTAGATTTGTGGTCTTCAGAATTCCTTTACAATTCAATACAATACATATATTGATTGTCTAATACATGCCAGGTGCTGTGATGGGCATTGGAAGTATGAAGATAAATTAAACATGGTTTTGCCCTAAAGGATTTCACTGAGGATCTGGTTAAGTCATCAAGCTTCTTTGAGTGCCACCTTCTCATCTGTAAGAGTGGGGCACGGAAATAAATATTTCATCTGCTCCAGAAACTTTTATTGAGCACGCTTGTCTTGCCATACACTCTAGGAGATATCAAGGAATGAAAATAGGACTGTATCACTATAACAATTCAATTACAAAGCATGCCTAGTCTCTGCCCTTCGAAGAGGTCACAATTATAATACAACATAATAAATGCAAAATGAATATGAGAAGCAAGTGAAAGGGAGCCACTATTTTTTCTTAAATAAGGGAGGACAGACTCCACAAAAGAATTAACATTAGAGTAAGTCTTAAATGATATTTTCATTTATGACATGGCATGTTGGGAGCTCCCATCACTAAAAGGGATAAACAAATTTAGAGACTGGGAAAGAAGACTGTGACCAACAAAATCAGCCCCTCGCCCAATGGACCTGGCAATTCAAAATCAAGTCAAATGGAGATGGGCAAGACTCAGTGTAATCTTAAGTTTAAAACCAGGGAGAATCTGATTCAAAGGAAAGAGGCGTCATGTGATTCACGCTTCAGAGCATTTGCTGTTCTTGGTTCTCAAGTACACTAAAACGACTCATTCTAAAGGAGATGATGGAAGTCAGGCACCAGTTTCCCCAAGGGAAAGGACATATTAGTACTAGGAATGAGTCAGGCCAACAGTCAAGTGCTCAGTTTTTAGGATTTCACTCTGGACCAGTAGGACAGAAACAGGTATCTAGGATCAGGATCAAGAGAGAGCAGTACCACATGCTCGCCGGTGTCTAGAAGAAGCTATCTATACACATGTAAAATTACAGATTAATTCAAGTCCTCATGTACATGTAGCAAGAGAGCTTTGTACAGCTTGTCACTCCTGAGGGAACATGATCTTGCAAGCCTGGGTATCATGGCAGGAAGCTCAGGCACTGAAGAAGCAGAGGGAGTTGGTCACAAAGAGAAAGAAGGATGAGAGGACTTTGTAAGTGGAAGCACAACATGCACAAAAGCACAATGGTGCACTTCTACTCTCAAACAGTCTCCATCTTCCCTTTCTTGCCCTCCAAGTTGCCATATGCAATTGTTTCTCCAATGCCAAAGAGAGAGCCCCATCATGACTCTCCATTTAGTGAGTCTTCAGTAGTTTGGCAAGAGAAGTAGGATTTGTACACACTGTTTTATGCTGTTCTCATTAAACTAAATTAAATCCCAAACTCTCAATCCCATTGCACAAGGCACAAAATAGAGCCAGACCTGCTTTCCTCAGAAAAAAACATCCCTTGACATTCGGACTTTTGAGGACTCTTCAAAAATTTTGGAAGCCTCTGCCTGACTCAGTGACCACATCTTTTCCCTGTTTCCCAATACAACATCATTCTACTCACTCCTTCATTTCCAAGGGTCCTCTATAAAGGTCTGTCCTACTGTGGCCAGTATGGAGCACACCTAGTCACAGCTAGTTATTGACCCCTGACGTTCACCCCACCGCTTCTCAGGGTACCCAGGTTTTACTAAGTTACCTGGTGTGCTGCACCAAAGCCTTCCTCTCTGCCCCACTCCCCCCCTTCCACCAGCCTCCAATCCACTCCTAGACCACAGTGCATTTGAGGGAAATTCAATCCATATGTTTCCTTTTCTTTCTAGAGAATGCATCCAGCATTGTTTAAAGAGGGAGGCAACAGCCAAGAAGAGCTATGTGAGGCCTCTCTTGGCCCTCCAGTTCTTCATTAGGGAGCAAAGAAAGGAGGACTTTGCCAAGAGCAAACCTGAAACATTCCTTTGGGTTCAGTTCAATCGCCTGCAAGTCACGTTTCCACACAAACATGTCCCCAGGACTGAGGATGCAAGGCACTGTTCAAGGCGTCTCTTGGATGAAGACATGGCAAAAGCTACCACCACCATGCAGCTCTGTGATGTATGTGAAGAGAATCCGTTTACAGGAGATGATTGTAAATTATTACCCTCTAAAACTGACATATGCCTCTCTGAGAATATAAACTCCATAATTATGAGCACTCACTTTCAGAGAACCAATGACTTTAGATCTGAACCAATGACTTTAGAGTTCAAAAGACCAGAGATATCTGTCAGATGTCTCAATCACATCATTTTAAAATAAGAGAAAGTTTAGGCTAAGAGAGAGCAAGGGATTTGTCTAAGATCAAGGGGCTGATCAGAGTTTCATGTAGAACCAAGACTTGTGATTCCAAATTCAGCAGCTTTGACCTCTGCTCTTTATGCCCTGGACTTACGCAATACTCAGTGCCTGACACAGATACATTTTCACACTTCAGCCTTTCTGACTTACTCTGAACCAATCCTTTTGAAAGTTTTCTTTATTTATCATATCTGCTTTTCTTGCATTTTAAAAATAAACATTGTGGCAGTCAGAGATCCAAGATTCTGTTACTAAAGTACAACTGGAAAATCTTAAATATATCACGTAGAATCTGAGAAATCACTAATAAGAATTATAGTAAAAATTTATGACATCAATATAACAATTTCATTATTTTTAGAAAGCAAGGTCCTTGTGTGTCTTTTTAAAATATGTTTATCTAACATGCATTCATTTGGCACCTTCTTAAGGTCTTCCAAGTATTCATGTGGAGTGCTAAAGATTTTACAAAAACCAACAACATTCATTATCTTCTGCCTTTATGAAGGTTCTTGCTGGTGGCCCCTTTCAGCTTTAAACCTCCAAAGTTTTGTTTTTGTTTTGTTTTGTTTTGTTTTGTTTTTTTGAGATGGAGTCTCACTCTGTCGCCCAGGCTAGAGTGCAGTGGCGCGATCTTGGCTCACTACAAGCTCTGCCTCCTGGGTTCACGCCATTCTCCTGCCTCAGCCTCCCGAGTAGCTGGGACTACAGGCGCCAGCCACCACGCCTGGCTAATTTTTTGTATTTTTAGTAGAGACGGTGTTTCACCGTGTTAACCAGGATGGTCTCCATCTCCTGACCTTGTGATCCGCCCGCCTCGGCCTCCCAAAGTGCTGGGATTACAGGCATGAGCCACAGCGCCCAGCCTAAACCTCCAAAGTTTTATAATAAAATATATATATAAAAAAATAATAATAATAAATAAAAATACAAAAAAAAAAAAAAGAAAAAAAAAACCTCAGATGTCAAGGGAGGCCACTGCTGAGAGAAGCAGATAACAAGGATCCAAGAATGAGGTAGTTGAGAGTAGGAGAATGGAGGAGGATGCTGGAGGTTTTGAAAGTACGTAGGTGACAGAAGTGAGGGGGAAAAGGTAGAAGCCAGGATTCAAGGAGCCCTGCAGATAATACTGGTTATGGAACATAATGTCATAAAAGACCATGTCTGATCATGGACTTCAGAATCAAGCCATGGAAGTCCAGATCCCAAATTCCCCAGAACTAGTTAGAGAAGTTAACTTTCAACCATTCACCATTCTAAGCTCCTATCTCTTAATCTATAAAATGAGGATAAGCACACATACTTCCAAGGATAAAATGCAATCGCAGCAAATTTAAAGAGACTGACACAAATTGACCAGGTATCATAAAATTCCCTCCTCTCTATGTAAGACAAAGCCTAGAAAGACGGACTGTTGCTCTGACCTTCTCTAGTCTATTTTGAGACCAGATGACCTTTTCCTCTTGACAAGGGAGTTTTGGAGATTGGAACCACAAAAGAATCAAATCCCGTGGGCACAAGCTCCATTTGACTCTTACAAAAGGATACATTCCTTCCCTTCTCATCCAGTCAACCTGGTTTTATTCTTCCTATCCACACCTTACCTTGGGCAAAAGTGAAACAAACCCAGTTATCAAAATGTTCATGGGGTGAGGGTTGGGAAGGGGTGGGGGAACATCAGTCTCCTAGGGTTCTGGTCTGTTTGCACAGCTGCAGTCAATTAGGTAAAATTGTAATTGTTTTATACTTTTGCTCAATGCTTAATCCTGAAGAAAGAAGAATGGATGGTTGGTTTTCCTTTTTCATCTTGTTTTGTTTTTATTTCTTGTCATAATATTTAGATAGTATTTGTGTAAAGGAAGGCAATCATAATGAAATGGATAATCAAACAGAGGGCTCTAAGGCACATTTACAAAAGCCATCACCTCAGAAATGCTTCATTTACCCAGACAGTGGGCAGCAGAGGGCATGGGAAAGTCTGTTTCTATGGACAGGGAAATGATTCATGTCAATCAGCTCGAGAGTCCCTCTTCCAAAACACGTTATATGTAAGACATAGCATAATAAATTGCCCCAATAAGCAAACAGTCAGGATGCATCACATACCTTGGAGGGGCTGAACCTATGCTAAGGACTGAAGGTGCTAACATGAGTGAGACACCGGCCTTAGAGCCAAGATGAGGGTGAGGTGAGCAAGGCACTTGCCTCCAGAGCAAAATTTTAAGAGATGTCAGCAAGATAAATAAGACTGTAATGCAATATTTTTAAAGAATCAAAATTAATGCCAAAAAAACCTATGGTGCACAAAATATCAAAACTTTTGTTTGCTTTTACCTTTGATTATTAATTAAATATGCATTTAGACTATGAAAAACTTTAAGAAAGCCACAAAAAGAGCAAAAAATAACAATGTTAACCTAATTGTAAAAGGAAGCTTACACTGAATGTGGAAAAAAAATTAGTAGCAAAAGCCATATGAAACAAAACAATTATGAAAATAACTATTAATGTTTTAAATCTCTCCTTTTTTAATAGAAAACATTTTTGCTAAATATTTTTAATTTTTAAAAATAGACATTTAGGGATAATAGGTTTGCTTTAAAAAATGAGACTTATATTACCCTCTAAATAGAATCCTTTAATTTGAAATTTGAGAATATTATTGAGAGTCAAAAAGTATTCATTTCCTTTTATCTAAAAATCATACTTTAGGAAATCTGTCATAGATATAACCAAAATATAGAAACAGCATCATTTGTAACTTGAAAAATAAATTAAAACACCCCCAAATAGTCCATTATCCAATCATTAAAAATGATGTTGATAGAGACCAGGCAATGTTAAAAATAACTACTTAATAAGCATAAATACATATATACCACAGTAATGACTACATAAAAATTGCATTTAAAAAGCTAAAAGTAAATACACTATAATTGTAATAATAATTTCATTTTGGTGGTAGAAATCCGGTTTTCCTTCTTTGTTTCTTTTTTTATTCTTTATTTCCTTTCTTCCTTTTTGTTTTTAGGAATTGTATTATCTATTGTATTTTACATTGTATATTGTATTGAACATTATTTATTATACTGTATCACTCAGGGTCCAGGCACGAAACAAACAGGTGGTATACTCAAAGAAATAGCTCAAAAAGTATTTAATTACTGGACTATTTTCAGAGCTGTGGCAGGGTTAAGGGAAGTAACAAGAGATGACAAAATACACCTGGGGTCTAACAACAGCTGGGAGCTGTGGCTACTCCTAGGTCAGAAGTGGAGAAAGCAGTTTCTGGAACCAGGAGAGAACTGTAGTTATAGGTGGAAGCTGTCCAATAGGAAGAACCATCACTACAAAAACTGTAGTATGAGATGGGAATAAATATTCCAATCTTTCTCTCCTCTATCCTTCCAGTCTTCTACTAGTGTCTTCCATTGGCTGAACTCAGCTGAACACTACAGGGTAAAGAAGCCCAGATGATGCTGTCTGTTGAAGTCAGTTTCTTGAAGCACAAAGCAGGTAAGGGGAAAGGTGAAAAGTGGATCTGGAGGAACAAACAGGATATACCCTGCAAAATCATTGATATTACTATTTCTAAAATAGAAAAAATACACAAATTTAAAAAGTGATGGCATTTGAAACTTACTTCTGTCATCAAATGTGATAAAAATAATTCCCATCTAATAAAATTATTGGGTAACCTTGAAAATCAACAATGTCTGTTAACTTTTTGTCCTTATTATTATTATATACATGTTTATGGTGATGATGGTGGTGGAGGTGATGGTGTTGGGGTGCTCATGGTGGTAGTGATAATGATGCTGGTGATGGTGATGACGGTATATATAATGGTGATAGTTGTGATGACGGTAGTGGGGGTGGTGGTAGTGGTGTAATGATGGTGGCGATGCTATACATGTTGGTGATGGTTGTGATGGTGATAATGATGGTGGTGATGGTAATAGCAATAGTGATGGTGATAGTGGTGTTAGTAGTTGTGTTATTGATGTGCTATTCTTTTACATAAACTTTGAGTTTCATGTGATATCAGATGCTATCTTTAAGTGATATATGTCTCTATTCAAAGTAATGCCATTAGACACATCCACTTCTCCTATGAGATCAGGGATGATCAGTTGGTAAAACATGGCTCCTTCAGGGCCCATCTCTATGAAAGATCTTTAATCCATAGAAAAATTTAACTCACCCCAGGGTACATTCACTGAATAACTACTATGTGAGGACTTCAGAATGAATGGAAGTGCCTATCTTCATAGATAGGATTTGCGGCCTGAGAACAAGGACAGGAGTCAAACATACAATACTATAAACACGGCATCCTACACTGTGATTATCTTCCTCACAGAGTGCCTAGCACATATAACCTTGACAAGTATTTATTTAAGAAATGCATGAAGGCTGTAAGAATTATTATAGAAGTCCAAATCAACTTGATTTTATAGAGAAGATGATATTGAACACTTAACTAATCTAACTACTTCACATCTTTTAACTCAGTAAGTATTCTCAAAAGTTCTATGAAATAGACATAAATATTATTCCCACTTTACAGATATGGCAACTGAGACAATGATTAAGCAAATACCTCTAAGTTGTATAGCTAGCAAGTGAATAACTTGGAATTCACCTCCACCACCATCATCACCATGAACATGTATATAATAATTATAATAATAATGACAATCTCCAGGTAATCCCAGTTCTAGAGCATGGGCTTTTACACTTAATTTCCTCCAAGAAGGCTTTATGGTGGAGGAGGTGGAATTAGAACTGAGCCTAGAGGAATGGGTAGTAACACAAAAACCCCGGGGAAGGCCATTCAAGGGCAAGGAAACAGCAATAAGCAAAGGCCCACAGAAAAACCATGGAAGTAGTTTGAATGACATTCTCAGAAATGCCCTTCAGGGAGGATGATTGGGAAGATGATCTGGAATTCAACTTGCAGATGGAATGGAGGGAATCATGCTTGGAACAATGAAATAAACAGAAAACAAGCTGGAATAAATTACTTTATATTCCTTTTCTTCTTTCCTTTTTTTTTTGAGATGGAGTCTTGCCCTGTCACCCAGGCTGGAGTGCAATGGCGCAATCTCGGCTCACTGCAACCTCCACCTCCTGGGTTCCAGCGACTCTCCTGCCTCAGCCTCCTGAGTAGCTGGGATCACAGGCGCACGCCTCCATGCCCAGTTAATTTTTGTATTTTTAGTAGAGACGGGGTTTCACCATGTTAGCCAAGCTGGTCTCGAACTCCTGACCTTGTGATCCACCCGCCTCGGCCTCCCAAAGTGCTGGGATTACAGGCATGACCCACCGCACCCGGCCAATTACCTTATGTTCTTTCGGGTCTTTGATGGATGTTCTGTTTGCTTCAGAGGGACTCCTATCCTGGATTACCTTCAAGGTGAGCAAATAATGGTGGGGGCGAGGGGGGTGGTGCGGGGAGGACACAACTCTTCAGATTTGATGCTGTTTTGTCACAAACCTGATCAGTGATCTCAGCAATCAAGATGCAGAAATGAGTCATAGCGATAGCACTGTTCTGTACATGGGAGGCAGTGTCGTTGTGGGCAAAGGAAGTCTTGCACTAGGGAGCAAGAAGGACCAACATGGGAGGGCCCTCTCAAGCCCAGGTGGGAATTCAGCCCAGAGGCCTGGTGCAGCTTCACAGGAGAGCACAGCGGGGCTGCAGCGCAGGCCAAGTCTGGGAAATCTCTCTGCAGTTTCCTGTTCCCCAGCTGTATTTTATTGGCCAAGCCCACCTGCCCCAGCCCTCCCCTTTTCTAATACACCAAAAGTCACAGCAGCACCTCTGATTGTTTCTGCTACATTAAAACTGGCTGGAAAATGTGAAAATTCCCTCTATCTCAGGAGAGCAAGATGAATGAGTACAGGGAAGTTATTTTTAAATCTCCTCAAAATAAAAACAATGTCAGAGGTGGTCAGGAGAATGAAAGAAAAGTAAATAAATAAATATCCCAGGCAAGGAAAGGCATGAGAAGAAAATACTATGTGTTTTTATTTGGCTTGGTTTCTTTCAAATAAAAATGTTGTTTGGCCAATATTCTGAGTGAGAATTTCTTTTTTGGCAGTGAGTTGGCTGTGTTGAGGCTCTCTTTGCAGATCACCAGAGCACTTCAAACCCGGCACAGGATGTGAAGTGTGGTTACCTGCATTAAGCCTCACTGTCAGCCTAGGCCAGGCATGTGGTTTGAATTCCTCCCCAACTTTCCTTGACTAGTCCATTTATCTTCTTTGACAGGTAGTCCTGAGACTCTGTTCTAGCTCAGCCAAGTTGTTTCACTGTATGCTTGCCTCAGTTTCCTTGTATATAAAATGGGGCTACAATGGCTTGCGCAGCAGCCCTCTCCAAAGTGAAGGAAGCAGACCTCCCCTAGAGGGTGGGAGGCCAGAGAGTGCAGGGATGGACAACTTACAGGTGCATGGGCAGGAGGTGGGCATTTTCAGATGGAGCGTTTTAGGTGCTCATAGATGGGCCAATTAGCACCTTCCAGTTACTGCTAGGTGAGGGAAAGGTGAGAATAAAAGGATATTCACAACCTATAAAAATACAGGCCGGGCACGGTGGCTCACGCCTGTAATCCTAGCACTTTAGGAGGCCAAGGCAGGTGGATCACTGGAGGTCAGGAGTTTGAGACCAGCCTGGCCAATATGGTGAAACCCCATTTCTACTAAAAATACAAAAATTAGCCAGGCATGGTGGTGGGCACCTGTAGTTCCAGATACCCAGGAAGCTGAGGCAAAAGAATCGCTTGAATCCAGAAAGTGGAGGTTCCAGTGACCCAAGATCACGCCATTGCACTCCTGCCTGGGCAACAGAGTAAAACTCTGTCCATATACAAAAAGTATATATATATATGATATATATATATCATATATATATATCATATATATATGATATATATATATGATATATGTGTGATATATATGATATATATATTCATATATGACCTATCTATAGGAGAAAAAAACAAAAACTAAATATATATTTTAATTACCTTTACTAGGGAGAAACACACTAAATACAAATAAGGGGCCCATTCAATAGTAGTGGTGTGATAGTCATGCTTGAAGAATTTTATTTTTATCCATTCCTTTATTTAATTTTTTAATAAATACTTAGTAAATGTCTCCTGTACTCTCAGGCACTAACTTAGTACTATATATATATGTATGTGTATATACATACATATATATATATATGGAAAAAAAAACAATGACTGATGCATCTCTCTCCCAATGGGTCTTACATTCCAGGGGAGAAGAGAGACTTTAAGCAAAAATAAATAGATAAGTAAATAAAAATTCTGATAGATACTATAAAGAAAAAAATAAACTCCTCTGAAGAAAATCTCAGGGGTCCACTTGTGATTGTGGCATTTGAGCTAAGATCTGAAGATAGCAGGAGCTAGCTATGTGAACAGTGGGACAGAGAACATTCTAGGCAGAAGAAATGTGATGTACAAATGCACTTGACAAAGAAGATGCCAATGCATTTGGAGGTCAGGGAGCCGAGGTCCAAGATAGAGCTGGATAGGCAGGAAGGAACCAGATCATGCAGGGATCTGTAGGGGATGTTAAGATCTGTGGATTTCATTTTAGCTGTAATGGGGATTTGCAGAAGAGTTTTAAGCAGGGAAAAAAGAGAAAGTTTTAGGAGAGTGAAAATAGTGGGGCCAGCCAGGAGCTCTCTGAAGAGACGTGAGGTTGACGTGAACTAAATGGCCACAGTGGAAAGAGTTGGAGGCTCCAAGTTGTATTTAGGGGTAAAATGCAAAGGACCTGATGACTCATTGCATGAGTAGTAGCAAGGTTGAGAAGGTGGTAGGACAAGCTCCCAGAGTCCCAGTTTGAGCACTTGCATGGAAGAATGGTATTTACTGTGAATCAGTAAGCTGCTTTGAGGAGCTCACAGTCCAACCTTCAGAAAAGACTATTTGCCATGCAGATGCATATGTGCCATGCTTGAGGAATATGCAAAGCATTACATGAGTAGAAAGGAAGGAGACTATGAACCAGCATGCAGTTAGAAGAGGAGGCATCATACAAGGGGCACCCCTGGAGCTGTCACCTGAAAGACAGAGAGTGTTTAACAGATGGAAGGTAGAAGGTAAGTCTTTCAGGAAGAGGAAGAGCATTTAAAAAATATATAAGTAAAATTCCTGGCTGGGCGCAGTGGCTCACACCTGTAATCCCAGCACTTTGGGAGGGTAGGGTGGGGGTGGATCACGAGGTCAGGAGTTCAAGACCAGGCTGGCCAAGATGGTGAAACCCCATCTCTACTAAAAACACAAAACTTAGCCAGGCATGGTGGCAGCTGCCTGTCATCCCAGCTACTCAGGAGGCTGAGGCAGAGAATTGCTTGAACCCAGGAGGTGGAGGTTGCAGTGAGCCAAGATCATGCCACTGCACTCCAGCCTGGCCAACAGAGCAAGATCCCATCTAAAAATAAATAAATGAATAAATAAGTAAAATTCCCAATCTTACAGAACTTTTGAGATAATTTATGTGGAAGTACCTAAAACCATGTCTTGGATTTCATTGATGACGCTTACACCACTGTCACCAACCTGTCCAACAACAAAGGTTGTATGTGTAAATCTCATTCCTCTCCAGCCAAAGGGAGAATAAAATTCAAATAGACATCCCTGCCTCTTCCTTCCAAACCTAAGATATGTATATGAAATGATCAACATTTGCTCACCTGCAGGGCTGTTGACTGAAGCTTACAAAAAAGGAATTGATTTGTAAGTCTGGATGGTTTTATGTTTTGCATTTTAAAATTTTATTTCTTTATGTTTTAAAGTTAAGGTCATTTTTTAAATTCCTGCTCTCTCCATTTGTCTCTGTACATCCCTTGGTAACTTGCACAGGGCCTAGCACAAGGAGGTGTTCAACAAATATAACTAACAAATATGAGTCAGTAGAGCACATATAGGGGTCTCTGTCTCCTATTTTCCAGGCACTGTATTAGGTCAGGGTGTGCAGAGATAATTAAAGCAAGGTTTCTCTTCTCAAGGTCACAGACATAAATCTAAAGAAAAATATATGCATATACTTATATGCAGTGTGATAAATATGTGGAAATAAATATATATAGTCTCTCTTCCACTCCTTGACAAAATTCAGAAGTTAAAAGAATACAGCCAAACCAAAATATTTTTAAAT
Organism: Homo sapiens; assembly: GCF_000001405.40. NCBI lineage: Eukaryota > Metazoa > Chordata > Mammalia > Primates > Hominidae > Homo > Homo sapiens. The sequence goes on from NC_000001.11 coordinate 56,160,719, forward strand.
TTATAAGCATTTGCAGGCTTGAAATCTCCAAAGCAAAGACTTGAGGGTACAAAAATCAGACTAAAGTGCAGTGAGTGGAATTCCTTGAAGTTACCCATAAATATTCGTCAAGCCTTTCTCCAGTCCTATACCTACTCATAAATCCCCGTTTCATTTCAAGAACTTTTACATTTGATCAACGATGCGGAGTGATGTTTAAACCAGGCCATTTGGAATATTCAATTTTCATACATAGTTTTAAGATTTTAATTTCCACTCTGCATGCCAGCTCAGATTTTCCCTGTCCTGAAATAAATCAGGATTTTCAAGACATGAAAGCAGGCTCCAAGTACAGAAGGGCTTTCTAAACGTTCAGCCTGGTTGCACTGCTCAGTCAAGTCATACTCACAAACAACTTACCTCTCACCTCATCTCAGCCCCGGGGGATGGATGGAAAACTGGCAGCAAAGCTGGTAAGAGAAAAATACCCAGCACTCAAGATCAATATGTCAAAAAGAGGTGAGAGCCATTCATCAAAGGAGAGAGGGACAAACCCAAAGATGTTCTGAAACATTTACCCAACCAATCTGAAACCAATTGGCCCCTCCACTTAATCTCCTCTTTCCACATCTTGCCAGTGGCCACAGAGATATGAAGGCACAGCTAGCTCCTAGCAATACAATGCATGATGTATACAGGATATTGCTAATATATCATAGAATCAGAGCATGCTAGAACTGAACGGGTCTTTAAGGCTCATTTAGCCAACTGCCTGGTATAGAGAGGAAGCACTGGGGAAGCAGAAAGAGCCCTGGACTTGAGGTCAGACCAGAACAGGTTTCTAGACTCCACTCTGTTATTTTCAAGCTGCATGATCTTAGGGATGTCACTTTAACCTTTCTGAAAATTATATTCCTCCTCTGTCAAAAGGGAAAAAAGTTTTATTCATAGGGATTCTTATATGATAATATAAGAAAATGCACCTTGGAAATTGCACTGAACATATACATGGGTGAGAAAATATTATTATTGTAAAGAACCCAATAAATGCTACTTGAATCCAATCAATAGTAGTGTAAATACTTTCTTACCTGAACCTTCACCTAATGATCTGATAGAATATCCAATAGCTTCCATTCATTTTGTAAAAAATTTAAAGTTATGCCTACAGAATAGAGGGTGTCTAGTGCTGTTGGGTTAGTGTTCAGCATGCCAGAATCTTATCTCCCAGCAGTACAGTGATATGCTAAGCAAAAGTCAGTTGTATTTGTCCTCATTGTCCTCTGTTGTATTTTTTAATGTAATAAGATTGAATGAAATATCATGTAAGCTAATAAAATGTGAGTTTTTACACTTGATCTTAGCCAAAAGGCTGAGAAACGATAAAACTTGAGGTTTTATAAAGACATTTGTATTTATATGATAAAGTTCATACAACTATCTCAATACAAATATTTAATACAACTGTATCAAGACCAGTAATTAAAGTCAACTTGGTAAAAGACACTTGTCAAATTAGTCATGATAAAGACCACGGTAAAAGATTGGAGGAAAATTATAAAAAACTAAAAGGCTTAAACATTCAAATTCCCTCCAAGTGCCTTTATAGCTTGCTTCACTTTAAAGAACCTTAAAATTGTAGAGGTTATGGGTACAATCACTCAAGAGAGTTGGCTGATATTCGGCCATCAGAAAAGGAAACCCTGCAATATGCAACAGCATGGATGAACCTTGAGGATATTAAGCTAAGTGAAATAAGCCCATCACAGAAGGACAAAGGCTGCATAATTCCACTTATATGAGGTATCTAAAATAGACTCATAGAATCAGAGGGTGGAATGGTGGTTGTCAGGGGTTAAGGGAAGCAGGAAATTGTGAGTTGCTAATCAATGAGCATAAAGTCTCAATTATGCAAGATGAAGAAGTTCAGAGACCTGCTGTAAAACATTATCTCTATACAGGTATATACAGCAATACTGTACTGTACACTTAGAATTTTGTTTAGGGGGTAAATCTCATGTTAAGGGTTCTTACCATGATAAAACAAAATTTAAAAATTAAAGAGAAAAAGAATTAAAAAGAGAGAAATAGTCAACTGGCCATTCCAGTCAGTAGATCTACAGGCAAAGCAAAAGCCTTAGCCCTATATTGAAAGATTGTTATATCAATTGCACATTAATATGATTCCCCTCCTAACTAAAGCTAATAAACTAAAGCTAATATTGTTATATCTATTGTGTATTAATATGATTCTCCTCCTAACTAAAACTAACCAGTGGTCAGTCCTAACTGACTTGTAGTTAATTATTTGTTGATGTTTATATATCCAGTTATCTGCCGATCTATAGGAGCCCTGAATATAATTCGTATTTAATGCCAGTTCCTTGCCATTGAGGAACCCACAATCTAGTTAGACACTAATGAAATGTAAAATGCTTTATAATTCAATTAACATAAAAGTTATCTTCAACTCTCCTCTGAGTGCAATAGTACCAAAGAGAAGACTAGATTTTTCAAAATATTTGAGGAACTGTTGTGTCTATTTTCTACCAGGTTTTGTCTGTTACTTCACCAGTTATCTCCTTATATTTCCTTCTTATCAATTCACCTTCTCACCATAGAGAAAGTTCTCAATTGGTATAAAAGGTATGAAAGAAGGGCTTTGAAGATGAGATTAAATAATAGAGAAAAATCCAGGAGGCAGAAATAAATTGAATAAAGGCCTGGGAAGTAGATAGGAGGGTAAAAAGACTTGAATGCATTTGTTCTCATAAACATTTTTTTTTTCTCAAATCTTGATTCTTTTTTTTTAACTTTTATTTTAGACTCAGGTGAACATGTGCAGGTTTATTATATAAGTAAATTGCATATCATGGGGGTTTGTTATACAGATTATTTCATCACCCAGGTGTTAAACATAGTACTCAATAGGTAGTTTTTCAATCCTCACCCTGGTCCCGCCCTCTACCTTCCAGTAGGTCCCAAAGTCTGTTGTTTCCTTCTCTGTGTTCATGTGTACCCAATGTTTAGCTCTCACTTGTAAGTGAGAACATGCAGTATTTAGTATTCTGTTCCTGCATTAGTTTGCTTAGGGTAACGACCTCCAGCTCCATCCATGTCCCTGCAAAGGACATGGTCTTGTTCTTTTTAAACCTGTGTAGTATTCCATGGTGTATATGTACCATATTTTCTTCATCCAGTCTACTGTTGAAGAGCATTTGATTCCATGTTTCTGCTATTGTGAATAGTGCTGTGATGAACATATGCATGCATGTGAATTTATGGTAGAAAATTTACATTGCTTTGGGTATATACCCAATAATGGGACTGCTGGGTCAAATGGTAGTTCTATTTTAAGTTATTTGAGAAATTGCCAAACTGTTTTCTAAAATGGCTGAGCTAACTTACATTCCCACCAACAGTGTATAAGTGTTTTATTTTCTCCACAGCCTTACCAGCATCTGTTATTTTTTAACCTTTTAATATTAGCCATTCTGATTGGAGTGTGATGGTATTTCATTTTGGTTTTGATTTGGATTTCTTTAATAATTAGTGATGTTCAGCATTTTTTCATGCTTATTGGCTGTGTGTATGTCTTCTTTTGAAAAGTGTCTATTCATGTCCTTTGCCCAATTTCTTTGGTTTTGATTTGGATTTCTTTAATAATTAGTGATGTTGAACATTTTTTCATGCTTATTGGCTTGTGTGTATGTCTTCTTTTGAAAAGTGTCTGTTCATGCCCTTTGCCCAATTTCATTTGGTTTTGATTTGGATTTCTTTAATAATTAGTAATGTTGAGCATTTTTTCATGCTTATTGACTGTGTGTATGTCTTCTTTTGAAAAGTGTCTATTCATGTCCTTTGCCCAATTTTTAATGGGATTGTTTGTTTTCTGCTTGTTATTTTGTTTAAGTTCCTTATAGATTCTAGATATTAGAAGTTTGTCAGATGCAGTTTGAAAATATTTTCTTCCATTCTGTAGGTTGTCTCTTCACTCTGTTGATTGTTTCTTTTGCTGTACAGAAGCTCATTAATTTAATTAGGTCCCATGTGTCAATTTTTCTTTTTGTTGCAATTGCTTTTGGCATCTTTGTCATGAAATCTTTGCCAGGACCTATGTCCATAATAGTTTTTCCTAGGATTTCTTCTAGGTTTTTTATAGTTTTAGGTTTTACATTTAAGTCTTTAATCCATCTTGAGTTGGTTTTTGTATATGGTAAAAAAAAAAAAAAAAAAAAAAAAGGGTGGGGGGGGCGGTCCAGTTTCAATCTTCTGCATATGGCTAGGCAGTTATCTCAGCACCATTTGTTGAACAGGAAGTCTTTTCTCATTGCTTGTTTTTGTAGATGTTGTCAAAGATCAGATGACTGTAGGTGTGTGGCTTTATTTCTAGGCTCTCTATTCTGTTGCATTGGTCCATGTGTCTGTTTTTGTACCAGTACTATGATGTTTTGGTTATTGTAACTCTGTAATATGGTTTAAAGTCAGGTAACGTGATGCCTTCAGTTTTGTTCTTTTTGCTTAACCTATTTTTCACTATTCAGGCTCTAAAAGTTCCATAGGATTTTTGAATAGTTTTTTTTTTTTTTCTAATTCTGTGAAAAATATCACTGGTAGTTTGCTAGGAATAGCACTGAATCTATAAGTTGCTTTGGGCAATATGGACATTTTAACAATATTGATTCTTACTATCTATGAGCATGTAATATTTTTCCATTTGTTTATGTCATCTCTGATTTCTTTGAGCAGTGTTTTATAATCTTGTTGTAGAGATCTTTCACCTTCTTGGCTAGCTGTATTCCTAGATATTTTGTGTGTGTGACTGTTGTGAATGGGACCTCATTCTTGATTTGGGTCTCATCTTAGACGTTGTTGATGTATAGAAATGCTACTGATTTTTGTAAATTGATTTTGTATCTTGAAACTTTGCTGAAGTTGTTCTCATAAACAAAAACACATAAGTTTTTCAGGCACTTAGGCACCTTAACCTCACTGTCAATGTGCCAAATCTAATCAGCAGGCTTGTTTAGCCCACACAGTGGTTTTTTGTTGTTGTTGTTGTTGTTTGTTTTTGTTTTTTTTTTCTGGAACCAGTTGACATTATTTATTTATCCATAGACACATAAATATAGTATCATCTTTATATATCAGACTTCATGCACAGATCAGCAGTTTCTCCTAAAACATCAGAAAGTCCAGCAATACCAGCATTCCCACATGGCAGCAATGAGCAGATACTTTCCTATATAGCAGCTCTTCCCTGCAGATGAGACAGGATCTCTCCCATATGTTAGGCTCAGCTCACTTCCTGGTTGCTGGTGAGCCTCACTCACTTATGTTCCTGTGAGCACATGTAGGCAGTTAAGGTTTGATCCTTTTTACCTTGCAGCTTCGTGATACTGGGTCCCCGCCCTGAAGTGGCTGCAGAAAAATAGGAAATGATCCAGGTGGCAGGTGAAACTCTGCAAAGAAAGGGCCATGAGAATGACACAGAAATACATGCAACCCAGACACCTTTCAAAAATATCATGGGAATCAGTGAAATATTGTGTTGAGGGGAAGGAGAGGCAAGAGATTAATTTTAGAACACCAAGAGAAAGGTGATGGGATAATTAGGGAGAAAAACAGAAAGGGATGGAGAAGGAGGAAGAAGAGAGGGAAGGGGACAGGACGAGAGGAAGAAAATATTTATGTAGCTGCTCTGCCAAGCATTTTTACATGAGCAGGTTTCAGGGGAATATTGTGAGATAAATTTTGGATGTAGTGAGTTTTGAAGTCAGTGGAACTTCCAGAGATGGTGTCTAAAGGGCAACAGACAAGAAAACAGGAAGATCATTTCTTCAACAATTCTTAATAATAAAAGTAATAATGATTAAAACATCTAATCCATATTGAACGTGTACTCCAAGCCAGTTGCCATGCTAAACATTTCCCATGTATGAGCAATCTTATGTAATCTTCCCAACAATTGTAAGAGGTAACAACAACAATAATAATAATAATAAAGCCAAAACAAAGTACAGAGTTACTATGCCAGACATTGCTTTGAAGGTTCTACACATACCAGGGGCCAGGCGCAGTGGCTCACGCCTGTAATCCCTGCACTTTGGGAGGCCGAGGCGGGCGGATCACGAGGTCGGGAGACCGAGACCAGCCTGGCTAACACAGTGAAACCCCGTCTCTACTAAAAATACAAAAAAAAATTAGCCGGGCGAGGTGGCGGGCGCCTGTAGTCCCAGGTACTCGGGAGGCTGAGGCCAGAGAATGGCATGAACCCGGGGGGCGGAGCCTTCAGTGAGCCGAGATCGCGCCCCTGCACTCCAGCCTGGGCGACAGAGCGAGACTCCGTCTAAAAAAAAAAAAGAAAGGTCTACACATACTAACTTATTTAATTTTTGCAACAGCCTTATAAGATAGGTATTTTGTTATTGTCTGCATTTTACAGATGAAAAAAAGTTAAAATCAAGAGGAATCAGGTGACTTTCCCAATATTACTTAGCTAGTAAGTACTAACATTGGACTTCCCACTCAGGTCTTTTTGAATCTGTAGTTTAACTGTTGAGCCATTACAGTCTACTAGCACCCTGTACCAGGCACTATATTTGTCACTAATGACTCAAAAAATAAAATAAGATAGGCAGTCTCTACCCTCAAGGAGCTCACAGTCCATTGAGAGAGACAGCCATGTGCACAAATGCTACAGGCTAATATCCAAGTGTACTCTTAGAGATATGTAAGTACTAGATGCTATGAAAGTGCAGAGGTAGGGGAGCTGAATCTACAGGTGGGAAAGGGGGGTTGTCAGGGACTGGCAAATAAGTCTTCACAAAGGATGTAGCACAAGGTGGCTGATTCTAAAAAGAGGAATACAAATTTTCTAGTCAGGGAAGAGAGAGAAAAAAGTGAAAAAAGGCATGGAAATATGAACGTTTAACTCATCCTTGGGGAACATAAAGATGTCCTGGATGGCTGGGAATTTGTAAAGTGGAAAAGGGCAGAAGAAAATAACAATATAAGAGCAGATGGAAAACAGACTGTGGAGGCTTTAAGCGCCAGGTTAGGCAATGAAAGGATGTAGGAAGCTAGTATTTCTTGTGAGCACTGTTATGCAAAAGGTGTGGACTTTGTGTTGACGGTAATGGGGAGAAATTGAAAGAGAATAACATACTCAGATGTGTATCTGAAAAAGGTCTCTCTGGCAACAAGGCAACAAGGTGGACACTGGAATGTGAAGGTGCTAGAAGACTACAGAAAGTGTATTTAGAAGAATGGCAGCAGCCTGGAAAAGCAAGGATGGGGAATGAACCCAAGGGGTCGAGAAAAAAGGAGAGATAAAGAGAAATTGTAGAATTTTGAGATTAACAGGTTATGCCTTTGGAAGTGAAATACATCTTCTGGCTTTATATTAATCATTTAAAAGATAATCTAATGGGATAACTTCCACAAATTTAATTCATCTTTACTATGCTGAATAAATTGTTTTACTCAATTGAAAGGCAAGTTGCTATTTTTATCTTTTTATATTTGTATCCGTGATCTACCTCTTTCCATAAAAGATTTGAGGAGTCTGGAAAATCACCAAGTGAAATGCAGTGTCTGATGGCAAGGGGCTTCTTACTAGAAGAACCACTCTGGCAGCATAAATCTGTCAAGTGAGACAGGTTCAAGTTGAAGATATCAAGAAACATCCTCTGCGTCAGCTCCAGACTCCAAGTTGCTGTCCCTTCCTTTCTCTGGTGAAACAAATGGTGAGAAAATGTCCAGTTTGCTCTGCTGCTAGACTGAGCCTTTCTCTGGGAAGAGGAAGAAATATTGAAACTGGCAATGGGTTTCAAACAGAGCATGCACACCCTTTCCTGAAGACATTTAAAATTACATATGAAAACATGTAAATAAATCAAAACCTTAAATGAGGCAACACTTTATTCTTAAATCAGATAAACTCTAAGCCAAGGTGAACCTCTCAAAAACAACTATATATTTAGTATAATGTATATTTATATATTTATAAACTCACGATTGTGCACAAAGCATTTTATTTTTTTGCCTCCTTAATCTCATTTAATTCTTGTATAATAGCCTTCAAAAGAGGCTGGAAAATAATTATTAATTATCTCCATTTTACAGATTAAAAAACTGAAGTTTAGAGGTTGAAGTGACTTTTTGAAACTCATACAACTTTAGTTGTTAGTGATAGACTTAGGTCTAAACATCAATTTTACTAACTCTAATTTTAAGGAAAATGGGAGCGTTATAAAGATAGTAAGAGCTAACATTTAGAATAGTTACTATGTGTCAGTCAATATGCTTTGTGCCTAATGTGCATTGTCACATTGAATTCTGTGTTTTTGTTTTTGTTTTGGAGATGGAGTCTCGCTCTGTCGCCCAGGCTGGAGTGCAGTGGCGCAATCTGGGTTCACTGCAAGCTCCGCCTCCCGGGTTCATGCCATTCTCCTGCCTCAGCCTCCCGAGTAGCTGGGACTAGAGGCGCCAGCCACCATGCCCGGCTAATTTTTTGTATTTTTAGTAGAGACGGGGTTTCACCGTGTTAGCCAGGCTGGTCTCGATCTCCCGACCTCGTGATCCGCCCGCCTCGGCCTCCCAAAGAGCTGGGATTACAGGCGTGAGCCACCACGCCTGGCCTTCACATTGAATTCTGAAACCACCCTATGATAGAGGCAGTGTAACTGTTCCCATTTTACAGATAAGGAAGCTGAAGCTAGAGGTAATGACTAGACCAAGGTCATATAGATAATTATTGGAGGAATTGAGGTCAAACTCAGGCATTTGGTGTCAAATCTAGCTCTTAACCAAACAAACATCTATTTAAATTCTGCCTTGGCTAGCTATTAACTACATGTTCCTGGCCAAATTATTGCAATTTTGGAGCTTCTGTTAAGTTTCATATATATATAACCTGGTTTGGCATCCTGCTCTTAGTAGGCCACCAATAAATGTTAGGTTCCCTTCTTTCAACCACAATGCATTGTCACTAGTAATTTTTATGGCAGAAGTAATCATGTTAGTTAATCTAACATCCTAAAATGGCAGCACTTGTGTTGACAGCCAGAAGAAAACCAGGGACTATAACTTAAGCTCACCTTAAAGTCGTATTTTACTGCTATTCTCAAAATTTGCTCCCTGGATTCTTAAGATGTAATTAAAATTTTCTGTTAAGGAGGAAACAAAAACTATGCATGTCCATAAAATTAATTATCTTGCCAATAAAAGCCCGTTTCTGATGGAATTCCTAAATGACCTAAGTATATTAAATCTGAGTTACTTAGTAATATCATAGTTTAAAAAAATAAACTCTTGTTAAGCAAAGATTGGTTCCAGAAAATTGTCCTCCAAACACTGCAAGCTTTAGAACTTTTAAAATGAGTCACTTGAATTTGAAACTATGCCATATTTGAAAGTCAGAGCTCTGGTATAAGGGTTACAACTCTGTCAGGTAAAAGTGCTTCTTTTTAAAAATAAAATAATTTTTGTATTTATCCCCATCACAAGAAGAAAAAATAATATTATTAGACTACATTGATTTTTTAAATTGCAGTTACCAAAAACAGCTGTGTATTCATTTATATACATAAATTTGTATTTCATAAATTTATATTTTACTAATCCTAAAGCTATTTTCATACACTTGTTTTAAAAAAGATAATATTTCGAGAAACTACATTTTTTCCAGTATACAAATTCTTGTGCCCACATGGATTTATGAATCCCTTCCAAAAAAAATTTCTAACATCCCACAATGATCCACAGGATGGAAACCACTATTCGAAAATATTACAACTAAAAGGGACATTTAAGGTTAATATAAACCACCTTAATACCTACTGAACATGTCCCAGCTTCAGTTTGAATCCTAGGCACGTGTTGTCTGTTTGAACATACTCAAAGACCTGAGAGTTGGGGGTAGCTGGACTTGGCATGCCCAAAGAGACAGGGGTGTGGTAAGTACCTCATGAGTTGGCCTATCCTGCAGTGGAGATATTAGGAAACCCTTTAGAAGGAGCTTATATTTGCTTAAATCTCTCCTGTCCCCTAAATCAGTGAGAGTCTGATCAGGAAAATGAAAACTACACTAATTATTTCAAACAAGGGTTGGGAGGGAGGATTTGATGCAGGCACTTGGTTCCAAAAGCATTCGAAAGCAAAGGAAGCCAAAAGGGGGTTGTAAATAATCCCAGAGATTAGTAACTTCAGGAAGCTGCTACCACCAGTAGGGCTGGAGGCACAGAAGGATGGAGGTGGTGTTAGCAGAGCCTAGGAACACTAACTGCCAACTCTGCTGCTGCGGGGTCAGACAGCAGCTACTGCTTATGCTGCTGTAATCACAACTGCCCGACTTACTGATATCACTGAAGCCCATGACCTCTGGCCATCACTAGCAATCACCCACCAGATCTACTGCAGCCAGATCTACTGAAGGTGGCTGGAGTACATAGCCACTCAGTTCTGCCAGTGGCAACAGCAAAAGCATAAAGAGAAGAGCAATGACCTTCCTCTCTATCTGTCTCCCTGCCCCAGTTCTAGCTCTGCTTTGCATGCAGTCTGCTGCTGTTACCTCCCACCGGTGAAACAGAAAGGGAAGCCCACCATCAAGGGAGTCTGGGAAGTGTACTTTGCAGAAGCCTAGCCCCTATGATACAGAACAGAGCATGGAAAACTTGGAAAGGAGCTGACAGCAGTCAGTAGTTGGTGCAGTCTAGCCCTTTAGTTACTCAGATTCTTTCTCACCCTTTTAGCCATATTTAACTTCCATTGATAACAGAATCATGGCCCTGCACGACATGATGTACCTCTTCCTCATACAAAAATTCTCTCATCATTTTCAAAAACTGAGAAGCATAAAGCCCTGTCAGCCACCATTTCCATGATTCACAATTCTACCTAGATATTCTATGACCTAAAAAAACTAAATTATAAAGGCAACTACCACCAACACTGCTCATATAAAATATTAAGAGTAAGGGAAAAAGAAAAAATAATTTGTTTATATTATAAATATATATATATACACACACACATATATATATAAAATGCAAGATAGAACATGGATATAGCTGCTTTGGTTTTTGTTTCTATAATGGATCATTTACTCCATAGTTAATATTTATCCACATTCCTTTGCCCTTGGCCAGTTCTCCAGTAAAGAGACCCAAAGCTCACCTATTATGTCCGATCACTGTTAGCCCTCCTAAATCTTGATGCTGCTTGGAGGCAGCAGTACCATCCAGAGCTAACCCTGGAAAATGAGAAGACTATGATGGACAGCATCCTCAGTTTAAATCAATTTAGACTTGGATAAGAGCTCTCCATTTTTGATGTTCAGTGAATAAATAGTTTTACAAAATGTTGGCAATTTCAGTTAGGTTATTTTCTTTTAGAATATGGACATATTTTTACCATTTTACCAATATGTTTTGTTTCCATCTACTATCTTGTTAGTTTTCTGTTTATCCCACCTGGTTTTTTGGTTTCTTTTTTCTACTTTTTCTGATTTTGTTTGGATGAATTATGCAGGATCTGTGTTACATTTTATCTTTTCTAGTGATTTATTAACAACAACGTTTAGTTTTATTTATTTTGTAGTTTTGTTAGGATTTACAGTATGCCTCTTTTAAACACTGACTACCATCAAATAATATTCATCAAATATCAAATAATATATAATGTAAGAAACTTAAAAGAGTAAACTATCATTTCTGCCCGCCTTACTTTGTGATCCTCATCATACATTTCACCTCTGCATATGTTAACTATACAATGTAGTTATTATTTTTATTTAAATAATTAATTTGCCCTTAAAGATACTCTTTTTAAATGAGAAAAAAATGTTTTATACTTACCCATGTATTTACTATTTCCAGTGATGTTTCATTTTGTAGATCTCAGTTTCCATCTGGTATCATTCACTTTCATACTGAAGAACTTCCTCTACCATTTTTTATAGTGCAGGTCTGTGGATGACACATTCTATCACCTTTTGCTTATTTGAAAATGTCTTTGTTTTGCCTTCCATTTGTGCATGTTGTTTACTTTTTCCATTCTGCTAGCATTTTAATCATAGTTATTTTAAATATCTGGTTTGATCACTCAAAATTTCTGCCAGTCTGAGTCTAAGGCATGCTTTCTCTCTTCAGACAGAGTTTTTGCATTTTCACGTCTTCTAGTTTTTTGCTGACAGCCTGAGAGGATGTATCAATTAGAAGGAAATGAAGTAAATAGACCTTTTGTGTGAGGTTCAATGTTGATCTGGCTAGGAGTTACATTGTGTTTGCCAGTTGCTATAGCTGTACATATCAAAGGCTAGCATTTTCTCTGGGTGTCCTTGTTTTAGTCTTCCCTGTTATTTTTAGATTTCCCTGGAGACTCTTCCTTAAATAGGGTCTGAGGCTTACAGTTCTTTGGCTATAATGCCCTGTTATTATACAGTAGCACAGTTGATGTTGTGGAAAGTGGTACAGGCTCCAGCACCAGGCTTCTCCTCCAAGGCTTCCTTCTTTCTTTAAGCTGAATTCTTTGTATCTTCCTGTCTCTAATATTCAAGGTAGTGGCTTGCCCTGTTACCTCAATTTTAAGAAGAGTTGTGGATTTCCAGTTTTTTCAGATTTTTTCTTATTATGAGAATGGGAGTGATAACCACAAATCAGAAATCTCATTGTCTTCTATTTTCAAAGAATATTTTTCCTGAATGTAAAACTTAGTTTGACATTTTTTTTTTTACTTTTCACACATTAAAGATATTGTTCTGTTGTCTTTTGTGCATTGGTATGATAAGAATTCAGCAATCATTGTTTTCTTTTTTAATTTTACACATAATGCATCTTTTTATCTTGCTGTTTTTAAGGTTTTCTCCTTATTGCTGATTTTCAATAATTTGTCTATGATGCACCTTGATATTTTCTTTGTGTTTGTCCTGTTGAGATCCTTGGGAAAAAAAAATGGCAATTATTTCTTAAATAATTTTTCTTCCCTCCTTTTTCTGGGTCTCTAATTATATAGATATTATACTATTTCATATTTTCTCAAGGTAATTGAGGCTCTGTTTATTTTTTGTCTTATGTTTCTTTTATCTACATGTCTTCAGTTGGTTAGTTGCAAGTTTGCTAATCTTTTGTTCTGTTGTTAAGTCCATCAGATGAATATTGTATTTCAGATACTTCATTATTCAACTCTAGAATTTCCATTTGGTTATTTCTTGACTCATTGTGTTTATATTATTCTTTAGATACTTCGAAATATTTATAATAGCAATTTTAGAGTTCTTGTCATCTAATTACATCATCTCTATAACTTTTGGATTCATTTCTACTGACTGATTATTATTCCAGATATGGGTGACATTTTTCTGTTTCTTTGCATATCTAGTATTTTTTATTGGATATTGGACATTGTAAGTTTTACATTATTAAATATCTAGATTTTGCTGTCTTCCTTTAAAGAATGTGACAGCTTGTTCTGTTCGACATTTAAGTTGCTTGTGAATCAGCTTTTGCTTTCACATATTGTTTTTAAATCTTGTTAGAGTAAGTCTAGATTTAGACTGTCCTTTACTCTGCTACCATGGCATGAACCTTCTTGAATCTCTACCGAATGCCCTAGAGGGTCAACAAGATTTCTGTATTCTGATTGGTCAGAACTCCCAGCCCTTTGTTGGCTCTAGGAATTATTTGGCTTACACTCCCTCATTAGGAATTCTTTGCCAGATACTTGTTCTTCACTTGACCTCAGAGAGTCCCATTCTATACATGCACCAGATAATATTCAGCCAAAGGCTCACAGGGACTCCTATGTATATTTCTGGATCTCTTTCTGGGCTTATCTCCCTTTTCTCTGATACTCTACCTTGCAGTTCAAGTCACTTAGGCCTTCCCAAACTCCTCTCTTTGTTTTCTCAACTCAGTGAAACTTTCAAGCTTTGCTTGGGTTCCCCCTCCCTATGCCACATTCCAGAAAGTGCTCCCAGACTGAAAATTGAGTTGACTATAGGGCTCACCCCATTTGTTTACCTTCTCTCTTGGAGCATGATCTTGTATCATCCAATGTGTGAAAACAGATGTATCATATATATTACTCATTTTTTCTAGCTGTTTATAGCTAGTGAGCAAGACCATTACCAGCTACCAATTATAGATACTTTTAGAATTTCACTATAGAAAAAAGATATATAGGAGATTCCACATATATAGTTATACATTAATTTGACAAACACCTGTTAAATACCTAACAAGTTCCTGGCACTATGCTTCAAGACAAAGCAAAATGGTAGACTGGGAAAAATCTAACATTTGGAGTCAAGAGATCTGGGTTCCAGTCTTGGTTATCTGTTTGCTCACTTTGTAACAAGTTACCTAACCTCTCTGAGTCTCAGCTTTCTTACCATTAGACATAGGTAATAATATGCTACTTTGCAGGATCATTGTTAGGATTAAATATATTGTCTGTAAAAACAACTGGCCAATTCCTGGCACATAGCCTGAGCCTGATTGATTGCAATTATTAATTTTATCGAATGTGCTATGGAAAAAATTGAAGGGACAATAAATCAGCAGATTGGGGTGAGAAATGACTCCATTGGAGGCTAGTAATAACCCTATGTCTGGCAGTAAAGGAAGAAACTGGGAGAAATCCAAGAGAAAGAAAGAACAATGAAAACTGAGAGCTTAAAGAAATAAACTTTTCTCTCCTGGTTAAGTAAGGGAAAGTCTCACAGTATGAAATCTGAGAATTTCAGTCACACTCAGGCACTGAAAGGCAGACCAGCAGCTACCGATAGAGAAAGTGGATTCCTTAAAAACAGAAGATGAAGCACCAGAAACGATGGGCTTGATCTCTGTCAGGAGAATCACTGTGCATACATAAAAACTGATGGAAATATGCTCCTCAGTGTCATCTCCAAATATCAGGTGGAGGACTCCAGCTAAATCTGAGATTTCATGACATGCATAAAGAAGACTTTGCCAGCTCTAAGGGACAAACATAAAAACAAAAGTGTTTCAAGTTAATTAAACTTAGT
This sequence comes from Homo sapiens, assembly GCF_000001405.40. Lineage (NCBI taxonomy): Eukaryota > Metazoa > Chordata > Mammalia > Primates > Hominidae > Homo > Homo sapiens. The sequence goes on from NC_000001.11 coordinate 56,175,726, forward strand.
AGCACAATCTTTTGGTTAAGTGCATTTTCTGTTTTTCAGAAATACCCAAGAGAGCTGCAAGAAAAGAAGATGGAGGTTGAAGGAGAAGGGTAAAAGCTAACACATAATCCATGCTGCTAATTAACTGGGGGGTTGAAATGAAAGAATGACTGATATAGGTATGAATCTTTAAATTAGGCCATTTCCCAACTCTCACCAAAATTCAGATTTTGTTCTTTCTGCTCTAACTTCATTTTTCAAAGTAACCTTAACAGTAATGTGTTAAAGTAAATTAATATTGTGTTGATTTGCTGTGTTCAAATTTAATCTCCCCATAGAATGCAAGTGCCTTGAATTCAGTCAATGATGACTTATTTTTCTTTATACTGTATCAGCAAATACAATATCATATACAATATGGTATAAAATGCATACCATGTATTATAAAGGCCCATAGTAGGTGCTCAATAAATATTTTAAGCATAAAAGTTGGAATAAATTAACGAATGGAAAGAAAATCAGCTTTTCTGACAAAATTAACAAAAAAATTACAAAGGAGTTACTTTTTCAAATGAAGCTGACCACTCTCCAATGAGAACTCCAATGCTTGTTAAAGCTGGAGCACATTTTTGTAGAAAGCTTTTAGACAAACCATCTCCCTCTCCTTCCTGCTGCCCAATTTAGCCATAGAAAATACAAATAGTCGTGGTTACTTTGAGAAGAATTCTCAGTGGCACTAACAACAGGAAATAAAATGGGGTGATTTGTGGGATGAGAATTTAGTGAAATTTGGGAATTTTATATAATATTATCATTTTGGTTGGTTTTTACTTTATTAAATTAAAATTCTTTAAAACTCAAGGCAATACAAACAAATGAATTCAGACAGAAATAAATCTTATTAAATAACATTCTGTAAGAGAAGCTTTTTGTTGATTTTGTCTGCTACCTTTTTTAGAATAATCAAAGATAGTTTACTTATCAGTGACATTCCTAGTAATATTTCTTAAAATTGACTTTTTCGGAGTGGCCAAACCACACTATGGAATAGAAGTACTTATTATTTTCTATGTGGCTAATTTAAAAACAATTATATATAACCATCCTACAGATGATATTGACAGTTGAATTGGTTTAAGAAATTAGCAAGCCTAAGCAACATGGCAAAACTCCATCTCTACAAAAAATAAAAAAAAAAAAAAATAGCTGGGTGTGGTGACATACACCTGTGGTCCCAGCTACTTGGGAGGCTGAGGTAGGAGAACTGACTGATCCTAGGAGGTGGGGCTGCAGTGAGCTGTGATCATTCCACTGCACTCCAGCCTGGGCAACAGAGTGAGACCCTGTCTCAGAAAAGTAAAGAAAAGAAAAGAAAACAGACTTAGAGCCAAAAAAAAAAAAAAGTCTATCATCTAGCCTGTTCTGACTCCTTTTATATACATTGTCCATGTTCTATGGCGCTTCATCACACCAAGAAGTCCTTTTTTGATATCAAAGGCTTAATTACTCTTTGATCAGACTTTGAATTTCTATGGCCATCTATAATTGCTCAAAGTTTAGTTTCCAAATTTGTAACAATTGTACTTTAGGAGATCAGGTGCCATACAGAGGCAGTCTTTAATACTTACTAACCTGAGAACAGGTTAATGAATGGAAAGAAAGTAACTTTCTCTATTTCCCTGGTCGGGCATTATCACTAATATGTTCTAATATGTGTGAGAAATGCTATAAAATCCTTTTAATCTGAATACTAACCTCTTAGCCAAATGTAAGCTTTAAAAATTTGCATCTTCCCAATTAGACAAAAATGGGTTTTTTTAAAATTAGATTTACATGTAGTAAAATGTATAATATTAAGAATATGATGACTTTTGACAAATGTGTACATCTGTGTAATCGACACTTCTAAAGAAATACAGGGCATTCCTATGCCCAGAAAGCTTTCTCATGCCCTTTACCAGACAATCTTCCATGTCAGAGATAGTCATTCCAAAATTTATTTTCAATCATAAATTAGTTTTGCTTATTTAGCACCTCATATTGAATCATACAGAGTTCTGGGTATTTTTTTACCCAGTTTTTTGGGGCTTAGCATAGTGTTTGAGAGCTCTACCCATGAAATTCAAGTATTATTGAGCGGCATTAAAATGTTTCAATATATTTGTTTCTCCATTTACCTTTTGCTGGGCAAAAGGGTTGTTTCCAGTTTGGGGCAGCTCTGGATATTCTTGTGTAGGTATTTTTATGAACAATTTGGTTTCCATTTCTCTTGGAAATATACCTAAGAATAGACTTATAGGATCATAAGTTAAGTGTATTTTAGCTTTGTTAGAGACTGCCAAACTTTTCCACAGAGGTTTAGTGGATACTGTAGCATGCTGCCCAGATTCCTTCTTCCAGGACTAATGCACCCATTCCCTCAACTGCTAGAAATGGCAACCGACAGTTCTTAACTAAATCCCTTTCTGAGATTCACCCTCAGGTAAAGAGAGTCACCTTACCAAGATAACGCTCAGGGTTGGGACAAGAGTGAGGGAAAAGAGTTGCCTAGAATGCAAAATTTAAAGAGGTACAAGCTGAGCGCAGTGGCTCATGCCTGTAATCTCAGCACTTTGGAAGGCTGAGGCAGGCGGATCACTTGAGGCCAGGAGTTCAAGACCAGCCTGGCCAACATGGTGAAACCCTTCTTTACTAAAAATACAAAAACTAGCCAAGCATGTTGGCAGGTGCTTGTAATCCCAGCTACTAGAGAGGCTGAGGCCGTAGAATCACTTGAACCCAGGAGGCAGAGGTTGCAGTAAGCTGAGATCATGCTACCGCACTCCAGCCTGGGTGACAGAGCGAGACTCTGTCAAATAAATAAATAAATAAATAAAGAGACACTTGCTCTGAGGTTCAGGCAAGTGCAGTCTCTTTTTTTTCTGCCGCCAACATACATTCACACACAACTTCAAAAATCTCTATTCTCTACCACCCTTAAGAGTTAGGCCTATTAACAGATAAAAGGTTGCAACTTTTAACTTTTGCCATCAATAATGACTTTTTCAATCTGTAGAACATTATGCAACTTATAAAGCAATTTTATCTGTATATTCTCTTTTGTCCTTGTATGAAGCTTAGCAGAGAAAAAGAGACTTTACAGATAATGAGATTGATTCAAGACATTAAGTGACATTGCCAATAACAAAGCTGGAATTTAAGCCCAAGTCCTAACATATCTCAAGTACCAACCTTATTCATGACTGCCTGCCCAATATGCTATGAGGTCTTTCCTGGCAATATGTTTTTTTTTTTGTTTGAAAGAGGTGAGTAAATGGAAAATGCATGGGCCGTGATGGTATAAACTTTCCCTCTGCCAAAATACAAGCCAATGATGGTGCACACTGGCTCTGCAATAGCAAAATATCTCTGGAAGCTGGAAATTTTCTAACGTGAAAATTACTTTTCTCATTATATGTGGTTCTGTTTCCTTACTTGGCACTAAACTATTAATCAGTAGATCTAGGATTTACTCTTATACTTTAAATAATGGACTATGTCATTTTGGGGAATTCATATCACCTCTCTGTTTCATTTTCCCCATCTGTAAAACTAGTTTCTAGAATTCGTGATTTCAGAGATTGCATGTGTGCATGAAAAGACAACCATGCTATTTTTCAATGTGGATTTGTCATTTTATGAAAGAACAGAATAAAGGACAATTCTTTAAAATATATTCAGCTGATGAAATCAATGAAAATGCCATCATGACGAAACCTGAGCTGAGGACTGGCCTTTGGAAACCACAGTCCTGGGTGATCGCTAAGGTTTTTGATTCATGAAGTTATCAGCCTCTTTGAAGGCAACACAAGAGTGGTTGTATAAAAGCATGATCCCTTTTGGTAGCAGTTCATAATGGTTCTGATTTTCTGGGGAAATTTCATCAAGTGGCTTGCCACTGGAAGCCAGACACCAAAGAAGAGGCCTGGCCTAAAGAAAGCCAGGGATTAAAGACAATGTTGGATTGCCAGCTTGTTTTGTATGAGAACCATTCACATCCAGCAGAGTGCTTGAGGTTGTGAGAGCCCCACAACCAGCACGCTATCCCACAGCATCACAAGCACAGCAAGGTCAACTTGATCTGTAGCAGGTTATTACCCTTGCACTTGAATGCTAAAGAAGGAAGCAGGCTTTTCATTCATAGCAGTCAGCTTTAAACCTGAAAAGGCCTCTCTGAAAATAAAAAAGTAACAACTAGCAACAGCAAAACAATTCAGCTTTACCCTTTACATTTGTTCTTTTTCCAATTTACTATTAAAAAGTGTAGAGTATAAACTGTTGCAGTAAGTAAAACTTATGCTAGGTTTTATAGTGGGTAAACAATATTCTTATATGATTTTCTCATTTAATCCTCATAGCAATCCATTAAAATATACTCTATCTTCCCATCTCATACATGGAGATGCTGAAGCACAGACCTTGGAAATGATCTGTACAAAACCACATGGTCAGAAACTGGTGGCATCAGATTGTTTGCATGGGTTAAAATCATGCTAGATTAAAACTTGTATGAGTAGCACCAAATCTGCATCCACAAATCTGCTAAATCCCAGGGCCTAGCATATACAAATTATTTTTTGAGTGAGTGAATGAATTTACTAAAGAACTAAAGCATCACATTTGTTCTTTTTAGGCATCTTTGGCTAGTCATTATGAACTTCCTGAGAGCTTCTGGAATTACAAAAAAGGAGATGACAGCTTTCTATTTTTGTTTATTCAATACATTATTTGCTAACAACTGCCACATAAAAGGCAAGGTGTTAAATACTAAGGAGGGCATACAAGGATATATATAGACCTTACGCATCTATATCTGGAAAACACAGTCATCTTGAATAGAGAAATCACAATTTCCCTACACCCTTCCCACCTCTTCCTCTCACCTCATCTACTGCCTGCTTCCCACATCAATAAGGCTGGAAAATGCAAGCATTTGCCTATAGAGACAATGTTAAGATTTCCAGTTACTAGTCCAAGATTTCCATAACAGTAAGATAAACAAGGAACTAATTCAAAGGGACACCCGTTTTTCCATCATGACTGTGTTCCTGGTAAATTACCTATGTCTTATAAATCAAATGTTTATAATACCGGCTTCCAGTAAAATTGGAGAATTTCATTTTCATTTATGGTCCTCTTCAGTTAGTAATAGTTCCTAACACAAAATCTTAAATTAATAGTTTTCAATCCTGAGCACACTCACCAAGGGAGTCTTAAAAACGTATAGTGCAATTTCCTGACCTCACTCAAGCTCCACTAAAACTGAATATCTTGGTTTCACTTTCAAATTGCTTTTCCAAAAAGAGAAAGTAAAGAACAAGTATATAGTTTTGCTATGTAGGGAGCAGAGAAATGGAGGAGTAGCTACAGGGGTATGTGGGGTAAAATGATTCTTTTTGAAGATGAAATATGTAACATCGTGCTTATATCCTGATGGAGAAGATACAGTAGAAAGGGGGAATATATTAATAATTCAGGAGAGAATGCAATTGCTACAGGCAAATCCTTGAAAAGGTGTAAGGAGATGGATCTGTGCACAAAGAGAGAGGCAGGCCTTTGATAAAATTGTGGATATCCATCTATATTAAAGGAATAGAAGCAGAGTATGATAGGTTAATAGATACTATGGTGAAAATGTGTAGAAGTTTTACTTTCTCCATGAAATGGGAAGCAAGTTCATGAAGGAAATGATGGGGAGGGAGAAGAGAGAAGAATTTGAGAAGGGAAGTGGAGATATGAAATTGTTACCTAGAAAAGTAGCATAGTGATTAAACCAGGAAAACGGGGAGCATGTAAACACCACATCAACAAAACAAAGACCTGCCCTTATGACATTTACATTCCAATGACAGAGAAAACAAATGAACAGGATAAAAGCAAGGGCAAGGACACTGTCTATAGAATGGCCAAGGAAGGCCTCCTGATTAGATGACACTTGGAGAAGATCTGAGTGAACTCCTGGAAAAGACTGGAGGAGTGATTATTCCAAGCAAAGAGAACCCCAAATGCCAAGTCTATAAGGGAACATGCTTGATATATTCCAGTAGCAGCAAGTAACTGAGTGTGTCTGGAATGGAATGAGCAAGGCAAAGAATATGAGGACACAAAGGCAGAGAAGAGACCAACGTACAGACTAAGATGGGCACAGGAAGGACTTTGAGTTTATTCTACATGTTTATGGAAGCCACTGGAGGAGCTTGAGTAGAGAATTAATCACCCGACTTCTCTTTTACAGAATCCCTCTGCTGGTCTACTACGAATTTACGGTGGCAAGTATAGAAACAGAAAGACCAGTTACAAATGGCTTCAATAGTTGAGGAGAGAAATTATGGTGGCTTGACAGTGGTAGTAGTGGAGTGGTGGGAAGTGGTCAGATTCAGAATATATTTTGAAGATAGAGCATAACAGGATTTGTTCATGGATGGATGCAAAGTGTGAAAGAGAGTGAAAGATCACTTCAAGTATTTTGCCTAAGCAATGGAGCAACTGGCAATGACATTTACCAAGATGGAGAGCATTAGGAGAAGAGGGAATCGAGAGTTCAGTTTCAGTATTTTTTACATTATATTACCATCTCTAATATATATGACTATCATCCCTTTAGACAATCAGTTGTCAGATAAGAATTACAACTTTCCAAAAGTCCCAGCACCTAGCCCAGTTTTTAACATATGGTAGGTAGTCGGCCAGGCGCGGTGGCTCTCGCCTGTAATCCCAGCACTTTGGGAGGCCGAGGCAGGTGGATCACAAGGTCAGGAGATCTAGACCATCCTGGCTAACATGGTGAAACCCCATCTCTACTAAAAATACAAAAAATTAGCCGGGCGTGGTGGCAGACGCCTGTAGTCCCAGCTACTCGGGAGGCTGAGGCAGGAGAATGGCGTGAACCCAGGAGGCAGAGCTTGCAGTGAGCCAAGATCACGCCACTGCACTCCAGCCTTGGTGACAGAGTGAGACTCCGTCTCAAAAAAAACATATGGTAGGTAGTCATCAAAATTTACTGGACAAATCTTTATAATACAGTTTTATTAAATTATAATGCATTTAAATCAAACCTTCTGTATGACAAAAGATATCATTAAATAAAAATGTAAGCTGTAGACTTAAAAAAGTATAATCACAACCCACGTATTTTACCAAGCATTACTAGTCAGAACATATAAAGATCTCTTTTGAGTTTATAGAATAAAGATAAACAGAAAAATAGCCAAAGGGTATGAACTGTTGGTTAATGGGAAGCGAAGAGGCTAAGTGAAAAGTTTATGAGAAGACACTCAAAAATTATTTACCAGATTCATATTAGCAAAAATTAATTAATTAAAAATCAGAAAAATGCAAATTAAAACAATGAGATAGCCCTCAAATTCATGATGTAGCATTAAGATTGGCCAACATGGCTGAGCACGATGGCCCATGCCTGTAATCCCAGCACTTTGGGAAGCCAAGATAGGCAGATTGCTTGAGCTCAGGAGTTAGTCTGGGCAACATAGAAAAACCCCATCTCTACAAAAAATTAAAAAACTAGCCCAGCTTGTAGGCTCCTGCCTTTAGGTCTAGCTACTTGGAGGGCTGAGGCCAGAGGACCGCTTGAGCCCAGAAGGCAAAGGTTGCAGTGAGCCAAGATTGCATCACTGCACTCCAGCCTGGGTGACAGAGGGACATCCTGTCTCAAAATAAAAAGGAATTGGCCAGCATTAATAAATCTGGTAACACCTAATGTTGACAAGGATGTGGGGAAAAACGTATCATACCTTATTGGTAGTATCATTAATTGGTACCATCACTTTGGAGAGCAATTTGACAATACATGGTAAAGTTGAAAGTTGTAGAGATTCACATACTCTACAGCTCAGCAATTCCACTTCTAGATTTCTCTCCTAAAAAAAGAAAAAAAGAAAGAAAACTATCTTGCATATGTCCAAAGTTACTTATACAAAAATGAACTTTTTAGAATTGTTAAAAAGTAGGAAACCAAATATTTCTCAGTGGTGATGATGGGGGGCTGGATGCATACATAAACTAAGGAGCATACAAATAACATAAACTAAGAAGCATACAAATAACATAAACCAAGAATAATACCTATGTGTTATGGGTTGAATTATGTCTCCCCAAAATTCATATGTTGAAGCCCTAACCCTCCAGTTCAGAATATGATTATATTTGGAGATAGAGACTTTAAAGAAGTGATTACATTAACATGAGACCATTAGGGTGGACTCTAATCCAATCTGACTGCTGTCCTTATAAGGAAAGGAAATTTGGGCAAATACAGAGACACCAGGAGATGCACACACACAGAGAAAGTACCATGTAAGGCCCCAGCAGGAGGGCAGGCATCGTCAAGCTAAGGAAAATGGCCTCAGAAGAAACCAGACCTGCTGAAACCTTGATCTTGGACTTCTGGCCTCTGTAACTGTGAGAAAATAAACTTCTGTTGAAGCCATCCAGCCTGGGATGGGGTTGTGGGGGTGGTTATGGGAGCCCTAGAAATGAATACACTATTCTGTGCACTCTAGATGCATTCCTCCTTTGATCTTCACAACTACTTGATAATGTTGATATAATTGTTGACATTTTATGTATAAGGAAATCAAGACCCAAAGATCCTATGCAAATTGATGTTGAGCACATCACACTTACTTAACAGTAGACTCAGAGTTTGAACCCAGAATCTGATGACAGAGTTCATTCAGTTCCTAACCTATCACATTCTTTAAAATTTGGGGGTTTTCATCATTCTCAGCAAACTATCACAAGAACAGAAAACCAAATACCGCATGTTCTTACTCATAAGTGGGAGATGAACAAGGAAAACACATGGACATAGGGAGGGAAACATCACACACTGGGGTCTGTCTGGGGGTGGGGGGCTAGGAAAAGGATAACATTAGGAGAAATACCTAATATAGGTGACAGGTTGATGGGTGCAGCAAACCACCATGGCACGTGTATACCTATGTAACAAAACTGCATGTTCTGCACATGTACCCCAGAACTTAAAGTATCAAAAAAAATTTTTTTTTTTTTTTTTTTTTTTGCCAGAGTCTCGCTCTGTTGCCCAGGCTGGAGTGCAGTGGCATGTCTCAGCTCACCGCAACCTCAGTGGGAGGCAGAGGCTCGAGAATTGCTTGAACACGGGAGGCAGAAATTACAGGCGTCCACCATCACACCCAGCTAATTTTTGTGTTTTTAGTAGAGATCGTGTTTCACCAGGTTGACCAGGCTGGTCTTGAACTCTTGACCTCAAGCAATCTGCCTGCCTTGGCCTCCCAAAGTGCTAGGATTACAGGCATGAGCCACCCCGCCCGGCCTAAATTCTTTAAAATTAACAAGCGATATCAAAATATATCAACAGAGATAAGTGACCAAAATATAATGATGAATGCAAAAGGTATCTAGCAAAAGAATATTTCCAATGTGATATTATTTATAATAATTTTTAAAGCACACATAACAGAAGTTACACCTTTGAAAAAGGAGGAGAGTATTGTGCTTAACTGTTTCTTTCCTTTTTCCTCTTTTATAAGAGAGAGCTGAAACGAATATGTCAAGATGTTAATGTCTGTTCAATTTTTGTCATATATAATAGATGTCTGCTAGATTATTTTCTATGCTCTTTTCTATGTATGAAATGTTCATAGTTTAAAAAATATTTTCTTTTAAAAAGCAAAATATATTGCTTTAAACATCTTTCTTGTGATTTAGACAGTAAATTCCATGTCCATAAAAGGGCGGTTAATTCTTTCTGTCTTGAATGTAAACACTGAAGAAAATTTTATAGTGTGTTTGTGTGTTTGTTTTTCAAATGACATATTAAATGGGCATTTTTTAAAACATATGTTGGGTGTCTTACAAGATAGTCTAGACCCCTTTACAAGTCAGGTTGTTGAGTTGATCATACAGAAAAAGACTAAAGGAAGTGATTAGAAACAGATGTGACGCTTTAAAAGCCTCCACTGTTAAAAGCAGAAAGGAGTCACAGCGGGAGCTGGGCAGAGTTGGAGTTATGTTTTATGTCCATAGGCATCCCCTACCCTTACTAAAGCCCATCTCAAATATATAGAGAAGATAGTTTTCTCCATATGGACAAGATAGAACATTGATTCAGGAGCTGGTTGCTCTGAGACACAATTAAGAATCAGCCTAGAATCAGTGGTTGGAATCTTACATTGCCTTGTTAGAAGGAAAAAAAGCATTAATGTAGGATTTATATATTGGAAAGCTCTACAGAAGCTGAAATACAGTAGCAAATGAAACGAAGAGTCTTAAGAAAACAGGAGTCATTACAGAATTAACTAAATATACTAATTTCTGTCCTTTTCTGGAAAGCTGGTAAAAATCCCTACAGATCAATTTGCTGTTTTACAAAGAAAGCATCAAACATTGCTCAGTGCTGTTAGGAGACAATTCTCCATGGTTCTCTCCTGTTCCCACATGTCTTCTGAGCAAAGGCACTGACATCTTTTGTTCTGGGCTATGTTTTCAAGGATACTTATATAGTAAACAACCTCAGAAGACAGAGACGGTGTCTTTCTCTGGAGTAGAGAGCAGGATTTTTGCTTTCCAATATAAAAGAGAAAGATTTCCCAAGCTCAGGATTCCTCATTAGTGAAGAAACCCCTCTATGTGGGCCACTCTATATCGCCCTCATGGTATTTGGAAGACAAGCGTTGCCGATGAGAACAAGAAGCTCATGCTGTTTGCTGTATGATGGGTAAAAGTCCTTTGTCTCTGGTCTCAGAGTCTTGTGACTTCTGTCAGCATCCATGAAACAGGCAGAGTAACCTGTATTACTTTGCAAGCAGGGAAAAATTGCAGACCCTTTATATTTCTTAAGTGTTACATCTAAGGTTAGTGGTTGAATACATTAAATTCAAATTTAATGAATATATGTCAATCACTTACTATATGCCAGGGGCTGTGCTAAGTATTTGACATCTATTATCTTATTTAAGCTTCACGTTGGTTCCATGAGAAACTGAGGCATAACTAGTTACATAACCTACTAAAAGACCCATAGTTAGTGAGTGACATTTTCACGCTTCCCAGCCCAGGTAGTCTGACTAGAGCAGCTACTCTTAATGACTTTCTATTTCTGCAGCAATATTTTCAATTATTATTGTTGTCCCTATTAAAAATAAGAAAATAGATTCTGAATTATAAGTGTTTGCTCATAGTCTCAAAATTTATTCATGCGAAATTATGATGTTAACTCCATTATGAAATCAAAGGCAATATTTATTATTAAGTAAAGAAGTAGCTTTCAAATATTTTGCATTAAAATCTTGATTCTTACTGTAATCTTCTAGTATATTCTATTCATTTTGTAATTCTTTTTCTAAAAGCAATAAAAGCACAATGTTGCAGATAAAGTCAACGAAAAGATGCTAAAATTAGTAGACAAAAGTTTGAGGAGAAAGAAGATTTGCATAATTTCCAATTATCTTTTCCAAGAAATGTATCAACTGCAAAGAAAAAATGGTAACTTTATAGTAGAGAAACCCAGCAGATACCAACTTAACCCAGTGATTAAAATACATTACCAGCAAAAAATTAAAAAAAAATGCAGGGATTATTCTGTATTTCAAGAAAAAATACATTACCAGCAATAATACAAATCAATAGCATAAACTCCTAGATGTAAGAGGGACACAACATTTTTTCTTAGTATTGCTACAAACATGTATAACCTCATTCCTATCATGAGAAAATACTAGACATACCCAAATTGAGAGACATTCTATAGAATACCTAATCAGTATTTATTAAAACTGTGAAGCTCATGAAGACAACGAAAGCAGAACTGCTGCAAACTGGAAGAGACAAAGGAGAAATAACAGCTGGATGCAATCTGAGATCTTAGACAAGATCCTGGAACAGACAGGGAAAAACATTTGTGTTAAAATGGGTGAAATTAGAAAAAGGCCTGTAGTTGAGTTAATTATATTGTACCAAATGTTCATTTTCATCACTTGATAATTGTACTATGGTTATTTAAGATATTAACATTAGGTGGAACAGGTAGATAACAGAATTCTTTGTATTATTTTTTCCACTTGTCTGTAAGTCTAAAATTAGTTCAAAATAAAATGTTTCAAAAAATAAAATGATGTTGCTTATGTAAAACAATTCTTTATGAAATGTAGTATAGTGGTTAAGAGCATCTTTTCTGTATTCAAACCCTAGCTTTTTAACTTATAAACTATATAATTTTGGGCAAGTTATACCTATCACTCTGGGCTTCAATTTATCTCAAAAAGTAGTATCCTAATACCCACATTGTGTTTGTTACGAAGATTAAATAAGGAAATCCTTGCTAAAAACACAGGTCAACACAAAATATACTCTTAATATATTTTCTCTTTTCTTGTAATAGCCAGTGGTTCATCTATGTCAGGAAGCCATTGGGTTTCATCTGCCAAAAGATGCCCTCATCAAAGACACCAATCACCTCTTGAGAATGAAAAGCAAGAGAATACAAGGAGAAAAGATATGGCCTCGTTAGGATGTGCTTTGAACCAGGGGTTGTCAGCTCAAATGCCTACAAGGACCAAGCCTATGACACCAGCTAGTGGAGTCAACCTGGGCAGGAATGTGGTGAGCTGGAGAGCCAGTGTGCTCTCCAAGGGGAACAGCTGTGTTCCTGCTGTCACCATGATAAATTGTGGCCCAGTATTGCCAGATCTCCCAATTTTGCAAGAATCTTGGCTTTTTATAAGAAAACTCCCAACTTCTAAATGTTGGTAAATAGTTCAAAAATGTAAAGCATCCTGGTTCTAAGACTACAAATGCCAAACCCCAAAAGCGAGTGAGCCAGATGCAGCTGGTGGGTTCCACCTCGATTGCCAACTTTTTAGCAGGTACAGCTGGTGAAGTAGGGAGTGGGTGGGGTTTTTGTATCCAAAATGCCTGGGTACAAATTCACTCTGTGGTTAATTAGCGTTACCCACACACACATGCTTACACATGCACACGTACATGCACACCAGTTACCTCATCATATATATTTGGTAGGCTCAGAATTAAGCAAAATTGAAGATAATTTTTAAACTGCAGATTTCAGAAATTTTTATATACTCAGGTGCATTATGAATCCTGATTAGAGTCTATGTAAGCTATGTATACCTTTTATTTTCTTCCAACGTCATCAGCCACCTAGGCATTTTCTGAGGCACTACTCATGGCACAAGCATTCTGTGAAAACACATATGGGACCCTGGACTAGATGGTTTCTAATGCTCCTCCCAGCCCTGACCCTCCTTGTTCCTGAGCTCAACAACAAAAGGATCTTTCTTTTTCCCCACAGTGCTTGGTGCATGGTGCACCACTGGTAAATGCTTACGGAACTAATTGCCTCTTGCAAAGGAATTTGGGGCTCACAATAGTGTCTGTACTTCAGATTAGGAGGAAAAAAAAAAGAAATCAAGCCAGATGCCACAATGGACTAAAACAAGCTCCCCGACTTTGCCAGTTGGTTTTGATTGTTTACAAAGAAAAAGCCAAACAAAGAAGGAGGTGGAATTTATTTCAGTAAACAGCATCTTTCAAAGAGAAAGAACTCAGTCTTCTCTAAGAGAGGTGCCCTCACTGCTGTTACAATCAGAAAACGTTTGCAAACAACCACTTGGTTAAAGAAAACAACATGTTCAAACAACAAAACCATGGGTTTTCTCAGAGCATTTGGGGTGTGTTTGTGTTTGTGTGTGTGTTTGTTTGGGAAGGAGGGTGGGAGGGATGCACTTGCATACATAGTCATCTTCAAGTCTAAGAGCATTTTGGTGTCTCAAGATAGGAAAGTAACAGGTTTTTAAATGCAGTGCATTGAAGCTGCAAGCGATTTTACACCCTGTCTTGCCAAATATTCCTCAATCTGCAGATAACACAAACAAGTCCCAGGGAGGTTAAGTGGATTTCTTAAGGAACAGATTCCACCCCTGTTCCCTGTCTCCCCTTCTCTTTTCTTCCTAGTGTTCTTTCCCCAGTATGCTGCCTCTTAGAGCACAGGAATATTTTAAGAAACAGTTTACGAAGCCACAACTCTAAATACATAATACCAGCAACAGTGATACAAACATGGGAAATGGCAGAAGTGAAACAGAAGAGTAAAGTGTTAGTCAAGGCAAGGAGGTAAACTCTAAAGCAACACAATTGCATGCACTCCTAAATCCAAAGGAAATCCGATCTCATTGCTGGGAGATATTATAAACTACGACAATAATAATAGCTCTGCCTAACAATGAACATTCCCTAAGCGCTCTCTTTGTGCCAAGCACTGTCTTGAATGCTTGTTCTCTGTCTTATTCAATCTCACAGTTACTGCCTCTGCAAGAAAGGTGGCGCTGTCATGATTTCAACAGAGGACAAAACTGAGGATCAGGAGGCCCGAATAAGTAATTGCCCAAGGTTACGTAGTGCAGAAGTAGGTATGCTGGAATTTGAACTCGGATCGATCTGATTTCAAAGCCCTGAATAGTTCTACCACATCAAGGGCAGGAATGATGCGAAGCCACTTACGTATTATGGTACTTGTCAGTGTTTGTGTACCTAAAGACAATGCTCATTTTATGTCTACTGTGTGCCCAATGTGTGTCAGTCACCATGGTCAGTCTGAGGATGAAGCAATGAGACCCTGCCTGGTCATTCAAGGAGGGATCAGGGGAGGAATGAGGGAGACAAGAGAAGCATTACAATCTGGGCCATAAGAGAGCATACAGGGGTCCAGCACACCTAATACCAGGGTCCTAAAAGGGTATATGGAACTGATGGCATTGAAGGTGATCCTTAAAAGAGGAACTCAAAGAGGAAGCAGGAAGAAAATGCTGCTTTAGATACAACGAACTGGAAAATCAAAGATCAATGGCAGCAGGGACTCAGGGGGAGTCAGAGAAAAAGCATCCACTGGCACATAGCTGGAGTCTGAGGTGTGTCCTGAAAGGTAAAGGGAGACGATTTTGAAAAACTGGAGGATTTTGAACTTTGGGCTGAGCAGTTTGAACTTTATGTTGCAGGTTATGAGGGTAGGATGGGGGTAGGTTAAATTTAAGACATAGGACCACAGAAATGTCCTAACTGAAACAGGAATTAGCCTGTGGGAAACAGGAATTCAACAGGGGCCCTCTTTAAGAGTCAGACAGGGCTGTGTTAGAACTCCAGCTCTGCCACCCACTAACTGTGTGGCCTTAGATGAGTTACTCCCCTTGCTGAGCCTCCTCTTCCTCATTTGTGAAATGGAATAATAATACTATCTAGCTCATAAGATTGTTGTGAGGGTTAAAGAAGCATCGACTGCAAAGCGCCTTTGCAAATGCCTTACACATGTGAGTTATTATTCAGTGGTGAGTCCTGATTTCCATAATGTTTGATTTGTCAGTGGTTTGGGGTAATCAGTGCCGACGTCTTTCTCCCTTCAAAGCTTGCGCCATGGCTGTGATTCACAGAGAGTTTGTGGAAGGCAGCACTAGTTTAGTGGCAAGCAGGCTCAGTTTCTGATTCTAGCCCCGCAGTCATTGGCGGGTCCTGCATGGAATGACTTCAGGCCAAATAAAACCTCTCTCTGGGATTTAGAGTCTTCTTTCAACACAGTGGGTGGCATAGAGTTGACAATCAGCAAATAGTGGTGTCCTTTTCTTCCTTTCTAAGTCTGGTATTGCCTGTGTGTCTAGAAACCCATTTAACTTCCCTGGGCCTCAGTTTCCTTGTTAAGAAAATGGGAATAATCATCTTCACTGGATACTTTGTAGGATTATTTTGAAGCTCAAACAGCAGTTGGGATAAGATGGTGCAATGCTTTGTAAGCTGAATCACTTTACAAACATACGGGATCATTATTATAAACTGAGCCAAGTTCAAATGGTTCCACTGAAATTCTGAGTCCCTGAGGCTAAAATGAGTTAATATTTGGAGTGGCCTCCTGAGCTCCAAGGAAGAATAACAATGAAACTTTCATCTCCTGGACTAATAATAGTGAAAAACAGTTCACCGTTATGGGCCTATTCATCGCTACCCCGTGAAAACAGAGCTAACTGCTATAAAACGAGGCCAATTAAATCTACACAATTCTGCTTCCTGCCTCCCATC
The DNA here is from genome assembly GCF_000001405.40 of Homo sapiens. Lineage (NCBI taxonomy): Eukaryota > Metazoa > Chordata > Mammalia > Primates > Hominidae > Homo > Homo sapiens. The sequence continues at coordinate 56,191,824 of NC_000001.11, forward strand.
CATTTCACCTATTCTCCCCCTCTCCCAAATAATAGCCTTTCTCCCCTCCCTTCTCTTCATGGTGAAGTCTTACATCTGTGAAGATCATAAAACGCATGACAGCCATTGGGGGAAAAAAAATCACACTAGTACACACACACAAACACACACACACACACACAAACACATCAGCACATCCCTCCCCAGCAGTGTCCTTAAGAAAAGGAATAACCAGTTGGAGACAGCTGCATTGATGGTGCCACTAAGCAGCCCTGGTGACATGGCCAAGGGCATTTCTTGACTCCTTTGCACGTGCTCTGCACACCAAGACACACAGGCTTAGCCTGAAATCAGCCCTGAGTGGACATTCAGAACTTAAATGCTCTTTAATTAAAGCAAATATCATGGCATTTGTTCCAAGAGTCTGCAAGAGTTACTGACCAGCGGACTTCCTTGAGTTCCTTTCCCTGTCATAAGAAGTTGAAAATATCACCTCACAGATCACCCATAGATGTTTAATGCCCTAATTTGGAAATACTGCATTTCTGTTTTTATTTTTAGTTTTGCAACTTTGGGAACAGTGCAAAAGAGAAAGACCTAGGTTATGATGGAATGAACACTGGACATAAAGTGAAACCACCAGAATTCAAATGCTTACTATGTTCCTTATAAGTTGTGTCACCTTGTGTAAGTCACTTCTCATCTGCAATACGGGGAAACAATGCCCACTTCTCAAGTGCTGGGGAGCTCAATAGAAGTATCCCAGAAATAAAAAGCCTCATATACTGTACGTTTCTCCTGTTGAGTAAGTGTGAGTTGTGATCCCTCAAAAGGGCGACGAATTAGGATCAGGAGCCATAGAACCTGAATCTGGCCTCTGTTGCTAACCAGTTGGGTGACCTTCACAAATCATTGCACCTCTTGGAGGCTCATTTTTCTCACACCATTCAAGAAATATTCGCAAAATTTCTATCATGTGGCAGGTTCTGTGTATAATTCCATGAACTCTTAGTCAAATATAAGGATGACTATGACATTTTTGACTACTGGTTAATGATATGAATTGTGTAATTTCATTATTTCAATGTCGTATCTTCCCTTATGATCTCCATTTCGAGGTTGTATTGTTCTCTGTGATCTTAACCTTCTATTCTAATTTATATTGTCCTAGTTTCTGAATATTAAATATTTTTAATTTATACTTTACTATTTTAATAGAGCCATACTGAGTAAGTTGCTATGAATACTTTGTAGGGTGGAATGCAATACTGATATATAAACAAATTAATAAATAAGAGCAGAGGAAATATTCCCAGATTAAAATTTATTAATTTTGCCTAAGTAAATCTGATTGTCATTCTCCGATTACCCAACCCCAAACCTATCTTTATGTGAGATTTAAAATAAAGATGCTCGACCCGGTGCGGTGGCTTATGCCTGGCATCCCAGCACTTTGGGAGGCCGAGGCAAGCGGATCATGAGGTCAGAATATCGAGACCATCCTGGCCAACATGGTGAAACCCCGTCTCTACTAAAATACAAAAAAATTAGCCGGGCATGGTGGTATGTGCCTGTAGTCCCAGCAACTCAGGGGGCTGAGGCAGGGGAATCACTTGAACCCGGGAGGTGGAGATTGCAGTCAGTCGAGATCGCGCCACTGCACTCCAGCCTGGTGGCAAAGCGAGACTCCGTCTAAGATAAATAAATAAATAAGCTCACTTTTCCAAGATTAAACAATAGTTAAACGCCACCCCCCCCCCAAAAAAAGAGAGAAAGATACATCTGAGAAGGTTACTATAATTCATACATATTTTAAAGGATAATAGCAGCAGCTTTCCTGACAAATAGTTTTGAAAATGAGAGGGAAGGGTTCAAATCAAAGAGTGTTTTCTTTGACACTATGAGGGCTGATGGCAAGGAAAGGGGTGGTGAGAGCAGGGCACAACTGACCAAAGTGGAGGGACCTAGCTTTGTGCTGAGGATCTGATAGCAGCTATGACACCTAAATCCTCACATACCTGTAAAGCAGATGGCACCATCCCCTCTTCACAACTTGCCCCAGGCCACACGGCTATGAATTCAGATCCAAATCTTTTTGACTAAATGTGCACCATATTTCCACTCCACCATGCTGATTCCTTCATCCTCCTTCCTAATTTTGCTGAGTGTTAATATTGCCCCAGGTGAAAGCCTCTGCCTCAGTCCCAGGATACCCCTGAAATGTAGGTGAGCCCAGTGGGGGAGCAGTATAGCCAACCCATTCCCTCTCCTCCCTTTCCATGTGAGTCCTAGTCCATAGCTGTTCTACAGTGGCCTCATAAAGGACAAAGCAGACTTCATAAAGAATCAGCCTGAGTCTCCGGGCATACTCTAACCAGGGTGAGGAGAAAGTTTCTAGTTGTGTTCAGGAGAAGTTGTCTTCCTTTTTAGAGGCTTGCATTATGTGAGACAACTCAGGTTAGTATAATGGAAGGAGCACAGAATTTGTCATAAAGATAATAGTTGAAACCCAGGCTCTATAGCAGCACTGTACAGTAGAACTTTCTATAATAATGGACATGTTCTCTAGCTGCACTTTTCAATAGAATAGCAATAGCCATGTGTGACAGTAGGACTCTTGAAACGTAACTAGTGCAACTGAGCAACTGAGTTTTTAATTTTGTTTAGAGTTAATTAATCTAAATTTGTTTAGCACCATGTGACTAGTGGCTACTGTGTTGGATAGCATAGCTAGCTCTACTGCTTTCTAGCTGTGTGACCTTGAACAAGTCCCTTTATTTCTCAGAGCCTGAGATCACTCATCTGTGAAATGTTCATAATCCTGTCACCTTGCAACTTCATTGGATTGACAAAGAGAGGGAAGAGCCATGCAAGTGCTTAGCACAAAATTTTGCTTTTAATAAGGACTCAAGAGACCTTAGTTGAATCTGAAAATTTGAATCTTATAATAGTCAAAGAGAAATGCATGTTAAAAGTTTATGCCTGGATTTTTCTACAGAATTGATTCCTTATGATGGCTTTATTCATCCAAACTTCATTTGCCTGCCAAAAATGACCTCAGAGAAAACAGGAATAAAGAAAGTCACACTAGTTATAGGATGGTGGGTACCATCCCTACTCTCACCACCCTACTTCCCCTGGAGTTCTGAGATGTCATTTTCTCCCGTGATGGAAATAGCTAAAAGCAGGGCAAAGTGTTTCACATAAGATGTAGCCACAGATCTTTGAGAGTTTTGCCAACAATTTTCTTCTTTCTCCTCCACTTTTAAACACATTGTTTTCAAAAAATTTGTCCATCTGGTTCTGATTCATTTGCACTTAACTCATGAGAGTTAAGTTGCAATAGAGTTAAGTTATGTTGCAATAGCAGACTGACTTGTAAAAAGTTCTAATTCATACATCTCCCAGACTCTTTCCTTAGAAATAGGGAAATGTTTGGCCAACAGATGGACAAAGCCCACTCAAGATGGGAGAGAGGGTACAAGATGGCAGTCTCACCTCTGCTATAAGCTCTCAGGAAACCCTGAGCATGTCCTAAATTTCTACGGTCTGGGTGTCCCCCATCCTAGGATTATTGCATTGAGTAGGAATTGAGTTGGATGACCAAATGGTCCCTCTTGAGTACAGAACTGATGCATATAGTTGCACCAAATAAATTGCTGGATTCTTTAAATAACCACTTCAGCCAGAGTTCTTGTGATTCTACTGTCCTCAAGTTCTAGGGAGTTATCTACAAACCTCTTTGACTACCCATATGACCGCTGTCGAGATTATTTCATCAGAGTTCTTGTTTTCAATGATCTCCCAAAGTTGGGAATAACAACTCCCAAATTTATATTTCCAAACTACATTTTCTTCTGACTTACTGCCTCATATATACAACTGTCATCTTCACATCTTTACTTGGATGTGCTATATCCATCTCAAGCCAGGTGTGTCCAAAATGGAGATTAACATTTTTTCCCACAAATTTTTCCCTTCAATGTTCTCCACCTCCATAAAGAACAATACCATCTACCCAGTGGATCAAGAGACCTTGAATCAAGAGACACCAAGTTCAGCCACTGTAAGTCTCTCAGCTTTTTATTGAACTCTCCTTGAATGCTGAGGGCTAGAAAATTTTGTCTTCTTATATCTCTCACTCATTGAGCCTGCCAGTAGCTAATATTTTATTTTCCATGGGTTTAGGGTTGTTGATTCAAGTTCCTTCTAGAGCCAGGTGTGGTGACTCACACCTATAATCCCAGCACTTTGGGAAGCCGAGATGGGAAGATTGCTTGAGCCCATGGCCCATGTCTCTGGTCCCAGCTTCTCAGGAGGCCAAGGTGGGAGGATCACTTGAGCCTGGGAAGTCAAGTCTGCAGTAGGATGAGATCATACCACTACACTCCAGCCTGGGTGACAGAGTGAGAACCTGTCTCAAAAAAAATAAAAATAAAAAATTCCTTCCAGAATGGCCATTTTTCCACTAGACTGTGAGGTCTGGAAAAGGCAGGGAACATTCTGTTTGTTCTATATTCCTAGCACAAAACAGGTATGACAAAGTGAAAATTAGAGACTCTGTTCTCTACTTCCTTCCTACTATTTCTCTCTACCTTTACTCTAGCATTATCACACAGGCTATAATTATCTACATTTATTCTTCTTCATTAGACTGGGAAGCTTTGTCTTATTGACTCATCTTTGCTGTCTTAATACTAAGTTCCTAGCCTGACACTTAGGAAGTGTCCAAAGAATGTGTGCATGAATGAAGAAATAATAAAATGAATTAGTGAATGAAGAATAAAGAAATAAAGGAACTGATGAGGCACTCCCTGGCAGGCCCTGATTATGCTGCATCCAGGAGACACCTAATCACATATATTTTCTTCCATCATACAGCCCAGCCAGGAGGCAGGAAGAAAGATCAGGAAGAGCTTAATGTTCAGTGGAAATTTCTTACCAGCAATCAACTCCCAGTCTGACTTTTATAATTATTTCTCTCTCTCTCTCTCTCTCTCTCTCTCTCCCCCTCTCCTTTCTTCTCCCTCCTCTCTTTCTTTTTCTCTCGCTCTCTTTTTTTTAAAGTCAGTTGTGGTGTCTTTTCTTCCTTCCACCTTACCCATTATTATGATAATGACTTCAAACACCATGCATTGCTATTCAGGGCACTGTAAAAATGTGTTTTTCTCATCAGTCCCCATGAAATAGTTTCCACTGTCTGTTTCCCTTGCAGATAGCAATCAAAGTCTAGGCGCAACAATAAAGAAAAAAAAGGCCCAACTCTTGTCCAACATAGAATCTAAAACTTGTCCTTGGAAAGTGACCCCAAGGGAATTTAATCACAAATATTCTTGACTTGGCCCAGCCTCTTGCTGTTGAATACAGAGTATCAGGAATGGTCTGTTTCTGGGGACTGATTTCTCTATTATTCCCTCTTAGTTTTCTCAGAAGACCAAAATAAGAGGCCTTTGAAGAAAATTGCTCCCTTAAGACCTCCAGTAGAGTCTCCAGGGTCTAACACTAGTTTTTAAATTTCACTGTCCACATCCTGTGGCTATAGTCCCCTAAGCTCTAATCATCCTGTTGCCTGGACTTGTTATTCCCTCAGATTGGTTGACTTTGCATCACCAGGTCAGTACCTGGCCCTATCTCCTACTAGTCATATTACCTTGGACAATTGTTTCACCTCCTGTCCTCAGTGTTCCCATTATAAAACAGGAGTACTAACCTGTATCTCACAGGATAATTGTGAGGTTAAATTATATAATATAGCAGATACTAAATGGGAATTGGTCCTGGACTGGTTGGAGACCACAAATTCTTTCTCCTCCTTGTCAGCCTCTCCCTTCTCTAAGCTCTTTTAGTGCTAGTACCATGCTAACAGAATTCATAGGCAGAATGGCCTTTAGAGATTGTCAGTGGAAAAGTCCCATTTCAAATGTGTGGTATACATACACACATAGCACATACACAAAACACACCATACTACACACATTACCTACACACTGCACCAAACACACACCACCACATACACCACAATACACACATACAAAACATACCACACACACAAATCACACAATGCACACATACACACATGCAAAAGCTGGGCATTTGGTCATTTGCCATTTCAAATTCCAAGGATGGCCTGTCCCTAATGCCCTTTCTTCTCTTGGGATTTGGCCTTCATAACTAGGAAAGCAGTTCTGGTGCTCAATCAATCCAAAGGGGCTATGAGGAAACACTGTGTGAAACACAAAGAGAAGGATGCTGTTCTAAAGGTTTAGACCATATTTCCCATGCCCAATTGATGATAGTCATAAGTAACGTATGCAGAGCATTTATCGTGTCTGGGCACCATGCTGGTGCATTACCTGTAGGAAAAATTTAACCTTCATAACATACCTGTATGTATGCACTATTAAGCAATCAGATTGCAGAGAAAACAGTCATCCCCAGACATTCTCTATTGCCTGAGGTCCATTCAGTGGCTGGGCTCCCTGTGCCACCTTTGCTTACTAGCAACTAAAAGAGCAATTGTACCTCAAGCTAGGAGTGACCAATGATTAACTGGCAAAAGAGCACTGTGAGTGTTAATTTTTCTGAGTTTCATTTATAAATGGTCCAAAGAAAGTAACTGGTGGGCATCCAGAGATTAGGCCATGAATCTCTCTGCCATGTCATCACACTAAAAATATGGCTGATGTCTATGGTGCTAATGCTCGATACCTCCCAGAAGCCTACAGTCATTCCAGAGCCCATGTGGTGCTTGGTGCTCTTGGCTCCATACTAGTGCCAATTGCATAGTTTTGTTACTCAAAATGCAAAGCAATTTCTGTAAAGACCAAGCCAGCTGTTCTCTGCCAGCCTATAATTGGCCATTGAGTCTATAGAAAGTTGTTGACTTTTGTTGGCAAAAGAGTGGCACAAACAATCCACCCATGATGTCATATAACACAGGGCAGGACACAACCATTCCAGTCCCAGAGACTTACAAAGATACTAGGTTCCATTAAGCCAGGCAACTGGAATTTCAGTGATATCACTTAAAAAGAGGGCTGTCTCCTTTGGGACAACATGGCTGTGTAGATAAAATTTTAAAAATAGCTCTTACTGCTCTAAATAACATATATGAAGCATATGTATTCATAACATACATGAAACTCCTAAAGTTCTAAGATGGCATAAAACATTGAAAGAATTGGCTCCCAATAGGATCTGCATTTTCTGCTCCTTGTTCCATCTCAGTAGGCTGGATTAGACACCCTACAACCAACCTCCTCCCTTTAATTCATATGGTTGGCAGTTTGCAAAGTGCTTTCATGTTCATTATTTCATAAGTCATTCACAATGACCCTGAAGCATTATCATTTGTGTTTTACAGATGTGGAAATTATGCATCAGCAATTTATTTGGTAAGCAACTTACCAAATATCCCACAGCCCACAGTGACAGAGGTAGAACTGTATGATTGATTGTTCAGTGTTCATGCCACTGCACTGTGCTGCCGCCAGCCAGTCCAAATTTAGCTGCAACTTGATATCAATAGACTTTCCAGGGGATGCCCTGAGGCTTTCTGTTCTGAGTGATTGCAAGAAGAAAGGGGGTCATTTCTAGGTACAGTCGAGGCCACAGATCTTCCCATATGCTGCTCCCTACTGCTCTTTGACTCCAATTTATCTTTAAGTCTCAGATAAATGCCAGTTTCTCAAGGTGGGCTTCCCTGACACCCTACCTAAGTTAGGGGTTCCACTGTTATCTGTCTCTACAGCATCTTTATTTTTCCTATTTAATAATACTCACCATACTTACAATAACTTTTTCAATTCCTATTTTCTTTACTTAGCTATAAGCTTCATGAAGGCAGGAACCATATTCAGCTAGAACAGTTCCTATACATTAGGTACTTGATACATGTGTAGAATGAAAGAACAAATTGTTTCCTCTCATAGGAAAGTCTGGACAGGTCCAGAGAATGTCAGCCCATCAACTAGAAGGAAACTTACCTGAGATAGCCAGAGGGTAAGTATGAAATATATTCAAGAAAAAGATCAGCAACTGGTCAAATTACAGTAGCCATTTTTCAGGTCTAAACTGGGATTAGAAGCCAGGAACAGGACTGAAGGCAAAGGAACAGGAACAAAAGCCTTTTTTCTTTTTTTTCCAGCAGGATGGGTCACTCAAAGCTTCCCTGTTAGGGACCAGAGGAATGGCATCTCAGCAATAGGGCCAGGAAAACAAAGTTCGCAGCTCCCTTTGGGGCTTTTTAGTTAAAACAGATGGCTCTGTACCTTGATAAATGCTTTCCTTTTCATATAATAAGTGAATGAGAGCTATAGACAGATTCAGTGGTGAAATATCATGGCAGGAGGTGTGTTTAAGGAAGATTATTCAGTTAGAATATACAGAGAAAAACCACAAGAATTGGGAAGACCAACTATGATGCAAACAGACAAGAGGGAAGCAATGAGAACATGAATTAATATTGTGAAAATTGAACAGAATCAACAGAATTGAAATATACTTCAGAAGTACCCTCTGTTGAACTTGGTAATTGATAAGCTATAAAATAGTGTCCTTTTTTGATTTGCTATCTGCTTACTAAGTGCTTTTATATCTTTTACCCTGTTTGAGCCTTATGAGGGGGCTGTGTGTTTGAGAAAGAAGAAAATAAGCTTAAGAGCGTATATGTCCCAGACACAAGCTCTGAGTGGCTCAGCTGGGATGAGAGTGCAGTTTCCTTTACTACCAGCTCTGAGCCCTCTAGACAATGTCAGGTCGTCATACAACTTGGAGCTTAGGTTACAGGAATGGGCTCACCTTACTCCCCCCAGGATCAAGCTGTCTTTGATCTTGTTTATTTATTCATTTAATGAACATTTATAGCCACGCATTTCCCAGAAGAGAGGTCCGAGGATTCCCAACAGTTCTGGGAGCCTGACAATACTGTCAACAGCTGCTGCACTGGAGACCAGGGAGCCTCAGGGCAGGTTCTGCTTGCTGTGAGTCAGACCTGCTTTTCATCTTTACTGTTTTTCCTGATTATACTGTAAAATGTCCAAACAAGAAATATTAAAAAGCCAAAATCCTATGTACTTTGCTACAATTTACTATCTTATATAATAATAGATTAAAAATATGGAGCCTTGGCTAATTGCCAGGCACCGGGCAAGACAACTTTACATACAGCATCTTATTTAGTCCTCACAATAGTCAGAGGCAAGTACTATTACTACCTCTATTTAGCAGCTAAAAAACCTGAGGCTCCTGGAAAGTAACTTGCCCAAGTTCACAGCACTAGAAAGTAGCAGAGGCAGAATTCTAGCCAGGCCCTGTGATCTCACAGTCCACATACGTAACCACACTGTGTATCAGGGATATCTTGCCAAATGAGACATATTTAATCACATCTGTTTCTCAAAGAAAAAGCTGTTGTTGTCTTCTATTCTCCAAAATGTTTCATGAGTTTTGTTAACCAGAGTGAAAGGACCAATCTACAATTCACTAAAAAAGTCACATTCTTCTAACAAGCTTAAATACGTTCTCTCCTACCTACTTGCTGAGCCAGAAATCCTCAGCAATTATAAAGGGGTAGCTATGTCCCTTTATCTGTGGTGGACAAAGCACTTGACCAAAGTTAGGAGGCTTGACTCTTGGCGTAGGCCTTGATGATACTACTAACTTACTGAGTGATCGTGAGCACAATACCTTCTCTACTGGCTTGTTGGTTTACAATCAGAAGTTTGCATGGTCTCTGAGGGCCCTTCCAGCTCTACTTACTATAACATGGTGCCTCTCATGATGTCCTAAAATGCAAACGGGCTGATTTTATAAAACCTTTTGTTAAAAATAACATTTAAACATTCTCAGTAGTATTGAGAATGGAGGAATTGTTACAGAAAGGAGATAGAGGGTGTATTCATTTCCTATAGTTCCTGTAACAAATTATCACAAACTTAGTGGTTTAAAACAACAGAAATTTATTCTCTGTGTTTTAGAGGCCAGAGTTTGAAATCAAGGTGTTGGCAGGGCTGCGCCACCTCCAGGTGCTCGTGAGGAGAACCCTTCCTTACCTCCTTCAGCCTTCAATGGCTACTGGCATTCCTGGCCTATGTCTGCATCACTCCAATCTGCTTCTAATGTCTGTGGTCACATTGTCTTCTCCTCTTGTTCTATATTAAATCTCCCTCTGGTGCTCTCTTAGAAGACATCCGTGATCGTATTTAGGGCCCACCCAGAAAACCCATGATATCCCCATCTTTAGATCCTTTGTTTAATCAACTTGCCAATGACCATTTTCCAAATAAGGTAATAGTTACAGATTCCAGGAATTAGGGCCTGCTATCTTTGGGAGCTGTTATTTGGCTTATTAAAGAAGGGCATTGAAAATCCTATTTCATCCTGCTTCATGATGATATTCAAGGTGATCTCTCAAGGACATCATCATGCATAAGAACCAAACATAGGTAGATATAATCATGCTGTGGGCATTTGGTGGGGAAAGGTAGAGAAGCAGGAAGGCAGAGTCAAGAGAAGCTGACTGTAGTAGGATTGTTGCATAATGGACATAACATTTGCTACCTGAAACAACACACAACTGCATCATGCTGACTGGATGAGAGCCTGCATTCCTGTCAACCAGGACAAGACCACTAAAGAGTCCTAGATTGGCCAACCAATGAGTAATTTTCTGACACTAACCATTTGTTGTAAAATCAAACAACTTTTCGGTGCCAGAACTCTCCGTCTCAGAAACATTTAATTCCATGCAAAACATTTAATTATTTTATTTAAGGAAAAAATAAACCACACTTCTCATTCTATGAGTACTATGCCCATGCTCCTTAGACTGCTGTGGGATTTCCCATGTCCTCTCTTGTTCAGAAAACTTACTAACTTCGGGAAACATTCTTAAATATCTTCTTAAAAATCAAGGCCCAAACAATAGTTTCATAACTTAAAGATGTTTACCTTGTTGGAAAGTCCCTAGGAAATTTGGAGTCAAGGCTACATTCTGCCGCTCACCAGCTAGGTGCCTTCAGTTAAGTCATGCCTTGCTCAATCACTGAGATGTTGCTCCCTCCCAGCCAGTTAATCTCTCCCTGATTTAGAATAATCTTTTTTAAAAGTCTTATCTCCATTTCCAAACTGTGAGCTCTTCGATGGCAGAGAAAATGTCTTGAAGAAAATAATGGCTGATTTATTGAGCCATGTGTTCCCTCCAGCACTCAGCCAAGTCCCGATAAATCATGGAAATTATTTCTGTTTTACAGATAGGGAAACTGAATGTGTAGAGAAGTTAGCTGACTGTTTCAAAGCTGTACAGATACAGTCAGGATTCACACCCTCTGTAAATCAAAAATTCATACTCTTTTCCCCAAATCATGCTTCTAGAACATGAGAGACCCTGGAGGAAATGGTTGATGGTTGAGAATAAATTAAAAAATGGAAAATGAAGCAGAGACATGTTTGCACTAAACATGAACTATACCACCTCCGGGATGCTAGAAACCACGAGTTGTGTGAGAGAGGGCAAGCAGAGGCAGATAGAAAGAGCAGTGGTTTACACAATAAAGCCTTACAAATGAACAACTCTCCTCAATGCCCAAAGCAATTTTCATAGGTGGTGTTTTATTTGATTCTCATAAGATACCTGGGTGGCATGAAGTATAAGGAAGTGAATTCTCACTTTTAGTAATTGAAATGCCAACTGAGGTGTTAAGTGGCTACAGTTCCTAAGTAGTAGGGCCAGGATTCAAAGCCAGTTCATAAAAATCCTTGTGCAGTGCTTTTTCCACTAGGCAACATAGCTCTCTCCCCACATGGACTTTCCTTGTAGGCCACAAATACAGCCTGCTCAAGTGCTCTGAGGCCAGCCTGCTTCCATCAGCCCCTACCACCACCACACATGCATGTGCGTGCACTCACACACACACACACAAACACACACATACATGCAGAGTTTGCTATATTTACAATGCCTTAGGAATGAAGAAACAAGGGTGGGGGGCCTGGAGAATGGATATGGAATCTGAAAAAACAAAAGAACCAGACTTAATGACATTGTCCTCACAGCTTTCTCAGATGTTCTTGAGAATTTTTTTCCCAATGGCCTTTATAAACAAACTATATATGTACATATATTTTTGGGTGTGACTGATGCTTATGCCATAAGAAAAGTCACAGATCACCCAATATAAGCAAGATATCCTTGAAAAGCTTAAAAGTCAGTCCTAGGCAAACACCTAGCCCCCTATCCTGCAGTGAGACAGTGGGCCAGTTACCTGACTCCACGTGTTAAGGGGAACCACAGAATGACTTTAAGGATGATGGTGGCTATCAGTACAATGTGTCTAACACAGATCCAAGCAAATTATCAGTATTCAACATATTCAATTAACCTAATTCTTATATAAATTGAATATATCTACATATCCATTCTTTGAAAATGTAACAATTTGGCTGCATCAGTTGAATAACTCTAGTAAGTCCCAGTTAGGAGTTCATTAGATGTATCTTTTAATCATTAATTTATTTTGCTATGTAGGGCACTGTCATTCACTTTTCAAGAACAACTAATATTCATTGAGCACAGTCAATGCTCATGCACCTATTATGTGCTGGGCACTGAATGGGATTTTATCACGGACCACTGCTCTGGGCTAACAATTGACTTTGAGGATTGACACACTGAAAAAATGCCAGGGCATGAAGATGAATGGGTTTACTTTTAAAGGGCCATGAAAATTGGCTCTCCTTGGGTCTGGCATAAAGCATGTAAGTGACTCAAAATGCTTTTATTAAAAAGTAAATTAAAGGTCAGAGGTGAATTTCTCTTAATTTTTAATTTCCTGTCCTTGTGCCAAGAATATGGATGAGAGGGGCAGGATTTGTTAAGTACCAGATGAGGATCCATGGTGACTGGGAGAGCTATACCATAGGGCCTGGCCAGCTGGAACTGGAGGCTGAAGCTGTGAAAAATGGTTCCACATCCCTGGTTGGGGGAGTATTTAATATTGTCAGGAAAAGGATACTGGTCGAAGGGGTAATTTTAAAAAGCAAGACATCACTTAAGCAGATGAGGTGTAAGAGTAAGAAACAAATGTTCAGATTTTATTAAACACAAGAGATTGAAGACAAAGAAGAAAATTATGATATCACATCCCGTTTGGGGGTTTTATTCTATTACTATCTGTCTTTGAAACAATCCCATGCCACTAGGCTCTCTTTTAAGTGCTCTATTATCACAAGGAATCATGCCAGTTAGGGATTGAACAAAAGTTCTGATACTGGCTATTTTACAATACACAGTGAATTGCAAACTCTCTGAGCCTCATTTTCCTCATCTTAAAATCAGAATATCAACATCCACCTCTAGGATGGTATAAGAGCTGTACAATGGTGCATGTAAGAGCACCTTAATTAAGTCTTGTGCATACTAGAGACACAACAAATGTTGGTTTTCTTTCTTGTCCTTCACATTATTCAGCAAATATACTGGAACAATCTAGTGAAACAAGATGGTAAAATGAGAGACACATGATTGGCATCAAATGGCTGAACTTACATCTTTTATCTGCTATTTGCCATTCATAAGTCATTGGCAGGCAGTTTTCCTCCTTAAAGTTTAGGTTTTTTAATCTTTAAAAGGAGAGTAATCACCATTGCTTTGTGTACTTCATGACATTGTTTAAAAAATCCAATGATTCAATAAATTAAAAGATATTTTGGAAAGGAATATGTGTCATATATCACACATACATATAAATATGTGCACATATGTATATATATGGTTTTATATCGGTCAAGTTGTACATGATATAAAAGACATATTCAAAAATTTACAAACATTAAAAGTAGATTGGAGAGTGACATCAGTAAGATGGCCAACTAGAAGCTCCTAGCACTCTTTCCTCCCCACAAAGAAAAAATACCCACAAGGAATAAGCAACTATATTTTGACCAAAATAACTAAAAGAGAGCTCCAGAGAACAGCAAAGAAGTGGCAGAAATCCTGTGGAGCATTGAAACCCAGGATGGCCACATAGAGAAAGCAAGGAAACATCTTGCCTCCAGTATCCCCATCACTCAGCTGGAATCAGCTCAGAACCAGGAGGGAGTCCCTCTTGCAGAGAAAAAGTAAATAAGAAGATCCCAGCACCTGCCATCACCATCATGAATACCTGAGTCTTCACTAGCAGAGACTGCTGCAGTACTCACAGGCTCTGAACCTAGCTGAGGAAGCTCCTCAGAGTCCACACTAAGCTACCCTCAGAGAAAAAGCCATTACTGTGCCCCTAGCTCCTGTGACCCATGCTGCTACTGCACTCTACCACCTTAAAACCGGAGTCACTGCCAGAGTGCATCCTACATTAGGGGTGAGTAGCTATTGCACTCCTTCATCCCTGAGGTTTTGCTGCCACTGCAATGTGCCTACCTGGTAACAAGTCACCCCTGAGACAAACTGCTGCTCTGCTCTACCCACTAGGTCCAAGCTACCACAAAGATACCCCATCCTCTTCATTCCAGAGTCACTGTGCCCTGTTGGTTTGGGGTCCCGAATTGCAGCTGAGTCCTGCTCTTTGGAGCCTAAGCCACTGAAGCACCCATTTTTTCCCCCGAGACATGCCAGTGCTATTCCCTGCTCACCAGGGACAGACCACAACCACATCCCAAGCCTCTGGGCCTGAGCTACTGGGGTGTGCCTCAGAGCAACAGATCCTGTCTTGGTGGGAGAACTGCATCCACTTGGACCTTGAAAAGTGAACCTCTGCCTCAAGTCCCAGTTGCTACAGCAGTTTCACTGAGCCCAGGAACCTGACCCCACAGCTGTTCCAAGCACTAGTACCGTGGATCCCAGTGTTGTTGCAGCTGCCTGAGGGCTGTGTCAGACCCAACATCAACAGATATCCCCTCAGCTAAAACTTTCCACTGAGAGAAAGACAAGAACAAAAGTATTGCTAAAGCCCTGGCCTTTATAACCTACACAGCCACTGTCACTGCCACAAATTCCTGCAGCCTAGAACATAGAGGCACTTGTAGTCATTGTGGACACTGATCACAAAAGAAGCTGGATGGAGACTACATCATGTACTCACAAGGAACCAGAGCCACTGCATCCTACCTACCCAGCCATCTCAAGCCCATCTGAAGGTGAAAGTCTTCCCCTACAAAAGCTACTCTTTAAAGTTTGGAAGAGGTGATTGCACCATCAGATTTGAGACATCAATGCAGAAAAACAAAAAACAAAAAAGCAAGAAAACATGAAACCACCAAAGGAACACAATAATTCTTCAGTAACTGACCCCAAAGAAATGAAAATTTATGAAATACATGAAAAGGAATTCAAGAAATAAAAATTTATGAAATACACAAAAAGGAATTCAAAATAATGGTCTTAAGGAAACTAAGCAAAATATACAAGAACACAAATAAATAATTCAATGAAATTGGGAAAATCCCAATGGTATTCTTTACAGTAGTAGTGGAAAACAATTCCAAAATTTATATAGAAACATAAGAAACTTAAAATAGTCAAAACAATTCTAAGTAAGAAAAACAAAACTGGGAGCATCATATTTCCTGATTTTAAATTAAATCACAAAGGTATAATAATCAAAACAGTATGGTACTAGCGTAAAAACAGACACATAGACCAGTGGAACAAAATAGAGAACCCAGAAATAAATCCAAACATATACAGTCAACTAAATTTTGTAAGAACCTGATGATTATTTTCCATCAACCTTATTTTTGTGTTGCTTAACAGTCTGTGGAAAAACATCTTAAAACCACTCAGTGGTCATTCCTACCCATTCAGTGGCCTGAGCAGTGTGAGCTGCTGACCAGTCTTCCATGGCAGGCTGAGCACTCCAGTCTTCAGCAGGGAACTACTAAATAGGCACAGAGGGCACCCACGCTGCACACCTTCACACCAGTCTGCAATCTCAGACTGAGTAGCAGTAAACTCAGGAGCTGAAGCAGTCTATTCAATCTAAAATTCCTACTTGGTTACAGCTTTTTCAGCAGCAGCCTGTTCTTCCTTTTTAAGGTCTTCAGGATCTCTGTAGAAGTATAGATCAAGCATAACCCCTCATAGGTGTTCACGGGAAATGGTGCCACACATGCAAATCATTTTCCAGGCCAGCATCCATCACATCAAACCCACTAAGTGAGTTCCCTTGTTGTTGCATGGGATGGCAATATCCACATAGTGCAGAGGAGAATCTGTGTTACACAAACCAATGGTAGGCAGGTTACCATAAGATGCCTCTATGAGAGGATGGAGGTCAACCCTGGGCTCAGTAACAATCAGAACCCATGGCTTCCAAAAGACCATCTGGATCTGGTTAGTGATGTTTTCAGTGAAGCAGCAAGTAATAGGAGTAGCTTCAATGGTAGCAGCAAACTTTAACAAGGCCCATTGGCTAGTACTCTTGGAGGATATGACACTGACATCAGCAGAGTTTTCAGTGGCAGCAAAGACACAAGCTGCTAGCAGAAGCTTCTCCCAGGTCCTCCTCATATTTATGATGTAGATGCCATGACTTTTCCTCTCATTGATGTACTGTTCCATTTTGAAGTCAAGGTTGTTGCCACCTAAATGGGTTCCTGCAGCAAAAAACTTAAGAACATCCTCCTCTTTCATTTGTAGGACATCAAGGGCTTTGGACATTGTGAAAGTTTCCCTTTAAGTTATGGCAGAAATCCACAACAGCACCATTTGGACCCCTCTATAGGTAACATGGCTACAGTCAACTAATTTCTGACAAAGGCACCAAGAGGACACAATGGGGAAAGAATAGTCTCTTCAAATAATGATGCTGAGAAAACTATTTCCACATGCAAAAGAATGAAATTGGGTGCTTATTTTATACCATGCACAAAAACCAACTCAAAATGGATAAAAAGCTTAAATATAAGGTTAGAAATTATAGAAACTCCTAGAAGAGAATATGGGGGAAAACTCCTGAATATTAGTCTTGGCAATAACTTCTTAGATATTACATTAAAAGCTCAGGCAAAAAATTCAAAAATAAATAAATGGCACTACATCATTCCAAAAACCTTCTGCACAGCAAAGGAAACAATCAACAAAAGGAAATAGCAGCCTACAGATAGGGAAAAATATTTGCAAACCATATACCTAATAAAGGCTTAATGTGCAAAATTTATAAAGAGCTCATACAACTCAATAGCAGTAAAACAAATAAGCTGATTTTAAAATGGGCAAAAGACTTAAACAGACATTTCTCAAAAGAAGTTAAAAAAATGTCCAAAAGGGATACAAATAGGTGCTCAACATCATTAATCAGGGAAATGCAAATCAAAACCATCATGAGATACTACCTCATATTGGTTTGCATGGCTACTAAAAAGTCAAAAGATAAATGTTGGTGAGGGTGTGGAGAAAAGGGAGCTCTTGTGTGCTGTTGGTGAAAATGAAGACTGGTATGATTATTATGAAAACCAGTATGGAGATTTCTAAATAAATTAAAAATAGAACTACCATATGGCCCAGCACACCTTTTTCTGGGCAAATACCCAAAGAAAATAAAATCACTATCTTATAAATATATCTCCTTCCTGTGTTCATTGCAGCATTATGCAAAATAGCCAAGATATGGAAACAACCTAAGTGTCTATTGATGAATGAATGGTAAAGAAATAGTGGCATATATATATGAATATTATTAAGCCCTAAAAAATAACAAGCTCTTACCATGTTCTACAACATGGATGAGCTTGGAGGACATTATACTAAGTAAAATAAGCTAGACACAAAGAGAAAAATATTGCATTATCTCACTTATATATGGAATCTAAAAAAATTAAATATACAGATACAGAGAACAAAATATTGGTTACCAATGGCAGGGAAGAGTATAAATGGGAAGGAAATGGGGAGATGTAGGTCGAGGGTACAAAGTAGCAGATATGTAGAATAAACAGGTCTAGAAATGTAATGTATAACATGAGGGAGATAAACAATAAACTTGCACTGTATTTGCAATTCATACCAAATGAGTAGATTTTAACTGCTCCTGCCACATGCAAAAAAAGTAACTGTGAGATGATGGATATGTTAATTTGCTTCCATATAGTAACCTTATTACTATCTATATGTATTCCATAACATGATCATGTTATAAGCCTTAAATATACATAATAAAATTTATTTTTAAAAAATTAATGAAATAAAAGCAGATCAGTCTTCATCATTACCAAAGGAGTTTGGCAATGGATTCTTGGATGTGACATCAAAAGCATTAGCAGCAAAAGAAAAGGCAGATAGATTAGACTTCTTCAAAATTTAAAACCTTTGTGTTTCAAGGGACATTAAAAAGAAAGTGAAAAGAAAACCTACAGAATAAGAGAAAATATTTGCGAATGATATATCTGACGAAAGCCTAGTATCCAGAATATATAACAAACTCCCACATCTCAACAACAAAAAGACAAACAACCCAATTTAAAAGTGGGGCAAAGGACTTAAATAGACACCTCACCAGTGAAGATATACAAATGGCCAACAAGCACATGAAAAAATGCTCAACATTGTTAGTCATTTGGGAAAAGCAAATCAAAACTACAATGAAGTTCTACCTCACACCCACTAGGACGACTATAGTAATATTTAAAGCAGAAAAGAGCAAGTATTGGCCAGGACACAGATAAATTGGAACTCTTGTACACTGCTGTTAGGAATGTACAAAAGTTCAGCTACCATGGAAAATAATTTGGCAATTCTTCAAGAAGTTAAACACAAAATTGTCATATGACCCCACAATTCCACTTTTAGGGCTATACTCAAAAGAAATAAAAACAGGTATGCAAACAAGTACATGTGCACATAATTGTTAATAGCAGCACTATTCACAATAGCCAAAAGATAGAAACATTTCAAATGTCCATCAACAGATGAAAGGATAAACAAATGTGTATTATATTCAGTTAGCCCTCCATATCCTGGGTTTTTCATCCATGGATTCAACCAACTATGAATCAAAACTATTCAAAAACATTGTGTCTGTACTGAACATGTACATACCTTTTTTCTTGTCATTATTTCCTAAATGATATAGTGTAACAATTTGTATATAGTATTTACATTGCAGTAAACATTATAAGTAATCTAGAGATAATTTAAAGTATATGAGAGGATGTGCATAAGTCACATGCAAATACTACCCGGAACCAATCCTGGAACCAATCCCCCATGGATACCAAAGGACGACTGTACATGCAAGTGGATTATTATTCAGCCATGAAACAAACCAGATACAAAAGGTCTCATCTCATCTGATTTTATTTTTATGAGATATCCAGATTAGGTAAATCCATAAAGAATGAAGATTGGTGGTTGTCAGGGCCTAGAGGGAGAGGGAATGGGAAGAAAGCACTTAATAGCTAAAGAGTTCTACTTGGGAATGATGGAAATGTTTTGGAACCATATAGAGGTGATAATTACACAATATTATGGATGTACTAACTGCCCTGAGTTGTTCACTGTAAAATGGGTAATTTTGTTATATGAATTTCACCTGAATAAATTATTTCAAAAATAGATTGATAACCTCATTAACGTTCAAGGAAGGTCCATTAAAGAATTGTTCTGTATGTAAATATTTTATTTTTTAAGGAAAATACAGTAGTCATTCCATAAATTTTTAATAAGCCAGTAAGTATATCAGTAAATCAATTAATAATGCTATCTTGAAAAAGTCTATTGTAAGGAACACAGAGAAGACTCCAAGTAAATTTTCAAGCAACATAACAGAATCCTTGCCCATGATATCACTGTTTTATATAAAACCATTACCAAGTGAAACAAAAAATTAAAACTATCCATAAATTTGCCAAGATAGCATGTAATACTATGACATAATGACAAGTTTTTCCAAAGTATGTTACTTGTTTATTTTATTTTTTGATTTCTCTCTCTGTCTCTACTGATGAACGTTTTTTCTTCAAATTAGAACTAGCTAAATGCTATTTAAAGAACACTAAATGAAACATTTGTCTCAGCTCTGAAGCTCAGTCTGCTGAAAAAATAAGTTGAAAAAACTTATAATTAATGTTGTTATTGCTAAATTATAAGGAATACCATTCTAAGTTTGTTTATAATTTTGATATTTGTTTATGTTGAAAGTATCTTGTTTTTTATTGTTTTAAAATGTCGAAGGTTATTTGTATATAAATATTGCATTGTGGAAAAGAATGCTATTTGACAATTAATCAAAGTTGGCCCATGTGTGTATAAGTCAAGATCTAACCTCACAGGATGTAACAAAAACTATTCTAAATGTCTAAAATAGAAAATTTTAATATGAGAGATTGGTTACAGAGGTGATGAAAGAGTGAGAGGCTGCAGAAGAGACCATGAGGCACCCCAGAGATTAGCAACAGCAGGGAGTTACTACCACCCCTAGGCTTAAAAAACAAAGACAAGTACCTAAGCATCCAGGTCACCTGGCTGAACCTAGAATCACCATGAGTCAAGGGCCTCAGATACTACCCAAGACACAGAGAGAAAACCCCTGGCTTCTCCCTTCTTCCTATTGCAATCTCTCCAGTACATTGCAACAGGCAAATCCAGACAGAAGCTAGCTGGTTGATGTAGGAGCCTAAGGTAAGAGACTTCAGGAACCAGCCCACTACAATATAAAAGCAAGTAGGGAAGTGTACGGCTGAATCTCAGGGCAAAAAGATCAAGGACCAACACAGAGGGCAAAACTAATTACCCTGTGACGGGTATAATATTATATGAACTAGAGACACAAAATAATGTATAGTTAGTCTCTGTCCTCAAGGATCTTACCATCTACTTTGAGAAATAGACCATCTGATGATTAGCTTATTAGTATATAGTTCACTCCTAAATATTCTCACAGATAATAAAAATAGCATGCTATAATGCACTTTCACATATGTAATTTCTGTTATGGAGATGAAGACAAAGCTTGGTGAGATGCCATAAACCTAAAATTAACATAATTCTTGATTCCTTCCTTTCCATGCAATCTGCTCATTCATACCATCTTATAGTCCTACTTTTCTAATTATTCCTCAAGTCCATTCACTTCTTTCCACCCAACATTTTTTACCCTGAGGCTAATTATTCTCTCACCTGGGCTTACTACCATTGACTACAGATAATTTCCAAGTTCACCTCTATCATCCTTCAATTTTCATTACACAGTAGCAAATGGTCTCTTGAAAAATACAACTAACACTGTGCAACTTCTTTACACAAACCTTTTCAAATTATTCGTGTCACTTTTGAGTTAAAGACCAAAATCTTTATGTAACCTAAATTGTGTTGCAAAGCCTGGCTTCCACTCAGCTTTTCAACCCCATCTCATGCCTTTGCTGTCTAAGTTCCAGACACACTAATCTTATATGTCAGTTTTTCCAAAGGACAAGATCCCTTTAAACCCAGCAATTTTGCATATGCAGGTCCTTCTGCCTGTAACATAATCCCCATCTCTCCTAGCCCTACACCACAGTCCAAGTTAACTCCTATTCATCCTTCAAGATCTCATCTCAAACATCCTTTCCTCAGGGAAAGCTTCCCTGACTCTCTCTCCCCCTTAATGAAGGCAGATTATTTGTTACAAAATCTAATAGCCACTAATACTTTATTTTACAACATTTGGCACATTTCATAAGTATACATTTGCCTAATTATTGGATTGCCTCTATCTCTGGTATAAGCCTTATGAAGCAGATGCTATGTCTCCTTTCTATTATATCCCTATCACCTTGCATGATGCTTGAAATCTAGGAGACTCTCAAAAAGAAAGGAAGGAAAAAAGGGAGAGAGTTGAGGATAAAGGAAAGGAGAAAATTGCCACACTTTAAGTGATAGAATTCAAAACCTGGAGCCCTGACTCTACCACACTGCTGCATCTCATAGAGCAAAGAAAAAGCATGAATTTCATACCAAATCCTAAATAATTCAAACTTTCTACTCTAAAATCTGGCATTATTATTTCTGCATCAGCCATCTTGCTGGCCCAGTCAACACCCCAGTTTGTCAGTTGCTTGACCACTTCTCCTCCAATGACCTTCTTTTTCATTCCCATGGTCACAGTCTGAGCCTTGGCATCCCCAGTAAATGCACCACCTCCTAAATTTCATTTTCAAGCATCTCGCTTTGTGATCCTCACCTCCAACCCTTCCTGCTTACTTTCTCTAGCAACTTCATGCAACAATTCTCGATTTCTAAGCCATTGACCCACCTCGTCAAGTTTTCCTGGGCCTATCATTTTAATAATTCCTTTACAAAAGTCTCAACCCCTTTGCCCCTCTTTCACATGACAAAGTTCCAACTCTGGCTGAATCTAACTGTCTCCTCTGTGCCCACTCCTAGAGGAAAATTACACAATTAAGAGTCTACTTCACTTTAACACTGTAATCACAAATCTTGAGTCCCAATTGGGCACTCAACACTGATGAACATTACGACCGATTACTTGGGTAGTTTACTTCCTACATTTTCAAGACAACCGTTTTATATTTTTGCTCTTCTCAAGCACTCTGCCTCCTTCCACAGTCCTAACATTCATTTGATGCCCTTGCCTGATTTCAGTGAGAAAATGAAGCCAATAAAGGGTAGCTCCTCCTTTCCCCACTGTTAATCTATAACCCTTCCTTCCTCTGGATGTTTCTTCTCCTCCCTCCCTACAGTTACAATCTCTCTTCCTTCCAAGGACCAGCTGCTCAGCTATGCTCAGTTTCATTCTCATTTCTCATGAATGCTAGTTCTTTGATTACCCTCTTTCTATTCTGCATTGCCCGTCTCTTCCACTCTGTTGAATCCTTTCCATCAACATATTCTCAAATATTGTTCACCTTAAAAACTTTTGATTCCACATCCCCTTCCAGCTACTGTCATGTTCTATTTTCTTTACAGCAAAAGTTCACAAAGAAAAAAGTGAAATATACAAGAGAGTATTTCCCCTTTCACTCTTCAGTACACTATAATAGGCCTCCATCTCTACTACCTTGATGGAACTTCCCTTAACAAGTTTGTCAGTGGTCTTCTCTCCTGCCAAATCCAGTGGGTCCTCGGCTGCATGTTACTCCCAGTAGGGTTTGTCCTCTTTGGCCACCTCTTCCTCAAAAGACTATTTCCTTTAGGGCTTTTATGACACCAGTCCTGATTTTCCTCTCATTTTCTGAGCTTCTGCTTTTAATTTTTCTTTGTATTGCCTTACTTTTTTGCTTAATCTCTAAATGTTGTAGTTCCTCAGGTTCTGTCTTAGTCCTTTGTTTCTTTCCTACCTACACAGCTTATAAGTGATCTCATCCAGCCACATTATTTTAATACCATCTATGATTGATGACTCCCAAATTTATTTATCCAACAAGTCCTCTCCCCTGAGTTCTATATCTGCATATCCAATTGCCTACTTGACATCCTCTCTTAAACATCTGATAAGCATCAGAAATTTGATAATTACCCTTGAATGTTTCAAGATCCGGTGTGCGTCAGAGCCTTTTTTAAAACGTCCTCTGCTCAGAATGCTCTTCCCAGTCACTTTCATGGCTTGCCCTTCAACATCTATGTGTGAGCTTTAGGTCATCTCTTCAGAAAGTTCCTAACTATCTTGTCCAAAGTAGTTCTTTCTCTACTACTGCAGCTTCCTGAGCATTTTCTTTCTGGCACCTATCTGTCAGTATTTTATTTGATTGTTTCTGAATTTTGTTAACTATCAGTATTGGCTGAATGAATAAATTAGTGAATAAATCATTTTTCCAGAAATTATAAGGCTATTTACTGCCTTACACACACAAATTCTCTGTATGTATGGTAATGTACCTAACACCTGCCCTGACCGGTGTTTCCTATACAAACTAAATGCCTTATTATTAATAATAATGATAGCAATAGTAAAGACCAAAAAACAAATGCTACTACAGTCGTCCCTGTTGTAACAAGGACCTGTGGTAGTAGAACTTCCCACATATACCCAAATCCGTGCATACTCAAGTCCAGTAGCTGGCCCTGTGGCACCCGTGTATACATGCCATGAATACTTTCCACCCATGTTTGGTTGAAAAAAAGTCTGGTGTAAGTGGCCCCGTGCAGTTCAAACCCATGTTGTTCAAGGGCCAACTGTATTTATTTAGAATTCTGAAGTCTTTTTGTCAGCCTAGGCCATAGGAAGAATTGAGTCATCACATCTTTATAGTCAGGTTGGCAACAAACGTATTGTTGGTGATACGGCTTTTGAAATCCTGAAGATGGCAACAAGAAAATCTAAAAGCCTTTGGCCTATAGTGTTATAATGCCTCACCCTAACAACAAGCAGCCTTTTTCCTATTTTCCCACTAAAGGATTTCAGAAGTCCTCCCTACTTAGGATGTTAGTTGGTCTTCTTATTGTGTCAATAACACTAGAAATTTTTCAAAGATTGCTATTGCAACAAAGGGAAATCCACGCATGCAAAAGCTTCCTAGTTTTTAGGGCTGTAGTATAAAAGGATGAGTGCTCACAGTCCCAGTCCTCGCTCTGAGCAAGGAGGAAATGTGTGTGCCATGTGTGGGTGGATGTTCTTCACACTACCCCCGCCATCAGGACTGCCTGTCTTCTGCTGGCAAGGGGTTTTCCCCTAACACATTAGGAAAAATTTGGAAGCCTTGAGCCGTGCTTACTCACATAATGGAAAAAAAAAAATCCTGGCTTTGCAGTCAAGAAGAGCAGGGCTCAGATGGCACAGAGTCTACTACTTCCAGCTATTTCATCTTCTGCAGCTGCCCTCTCCAATATGGCAACAACCAGCTACAGGTGGCTATTTAAATGTAAATGAATTAAGATTACATAAAATTAAATATTCAGTTTCTGAGTTGCACTGGCCACATTTCAAGTAATCAACAGTCTAGTGTCCATATTGGACAGCACAAATAGAATATTTACATTACCTAGAAAATATTATCAGATAACAATGATCTAGAGAAAATCACTCTACCTATTTCTCCAAGCCTCAGTTTCCTCAGCAGCCAAATGAGATCATAATGAGATTTCATAAGTAATATACAGTACTTGGCACAGAGTGAGCCCTCAATAAGTTTTCTTGCTTTCATTCATCAAGTAGTATGTGCTGCTTGAGTGTAGGGATCACATCTAATTATTTTTATACCCACGTTCCCTTCCTAGTACAATACCTGCTCATAAGAGGTACACAATAAATATACTTTTAACTATACTACTTATTCTTTCAACTCAATCTCTAACTTAATTTATTCTCACCAATGCCTGAAATAGGGTTTAGAGAGTAAACTGATTATATTATGTTTTATATTTTATATAAAATAGATTTAATATATGAGTATCCATATATCATATATAAAAATATATGTATAATTTTGTGTGTATATAATTTAGTACAGATACAAAGCCCAGTATTTATTGAGAGAGGGAAGGAAGTATGGAAGAAAGAAAAGAAGGAAGGAAAGAAGGGAGGAAGGCTAGCTGTTAACATTTACTCAGTGCAGCATGAAGTGCTTTGTTTACATTATTTCATTTACTCCTCACAAAAATTTTATAAAATGGCATTGTAACCCCCATTTTACTGGTGAAGAAATAGAGACTCAGAAATTCAGAGCAAAAATTCAAGCCTATATTTTTCTAAATTCAAAGTTCATGCTCTTAGCTATTATATTACAGCCTCCCAGTGATGAAGGAATAATAGATATTCTTTGTCTACTCTAGTAGATTCTTGTGGTAATAAAATGAGATAATATATGTGAACACTTGTTGTAAACTCTAAATATCTATGCAAGGTAATCCTTACTATTTCATACTTACTATTGTTTAGCACACTAACCCTGGAGCCAGAGTACCTGGATTAGAACACCAGTAAATTGCTTAATCTCTCAATGTCTAACCTCAAAATCAGAATAATAATGATGGAATAATAATATTATGCATGTCCCATAGCACTATTGTGAGGATTACATGAACTAATATATTTGAAATGCTTAGAATAATTTCTGACACATCTTTATCTCCATACAGGTGTTACGCATTAATGTCCCTGTGTTACTATTGCTGTTGCATGGTAAAGAAGCAGGAATAGAAATATCTTAGAACTGGAAAATATCTTGCATAGAAGTGAAGAGTCTAGTTTCTCCAACTTTTTTTTTCCCAAAGTTAAAATAAGCAAAAGAGTTCTCCATTATTTTATATACCATTTAATCAGAACTCTTATAGAGGCCAATTCATCTGGAAACCTTCAGCATTTTGGAGACAAAGCTCTAATCAGTCCCTAGCCCAGAGTCTCAAATGAAGCCATAGGATGTATGAGTCAATGAGCCACCTAGTGCAGCTCAGCCAATGAAGTGGAGGCTTTGTAGGGTGAGAGGTCCTAGATTTCCACAGCCCAGAGAATGGAAACTGAAGGTTGGTGTTTGAGCCAATAGGCCCTGGGCAAGCACCAAACGTGCGTTAGAAGTTTCTGGACATATGTCATAGCAATATTTAGGCAAAATTTTCCCCTCTATAATCTCCTCAAGGTCCCAAAGCCATGTTGTCAATAGTGAAAAAGAGAATGAGAAGAAGAGTCCATTGTTCACTCTAACAGTGATTATTATTTACTGTTTTCTATCACGCGAGGGTGATTCATTGCACCTGGATTTCAGAGCTTTTCTGAGAAACTTAAGAGTTTACCCAGACATTGAGGCAAGGTGAGGCAATGTGGGGAGGGTGGAGGGAGAGAAATTTGATTCAATTTATTACCAAATGTTTGTTTGATGGCAAAAAAAATAGTCTCCAGGGATGTTGACTCCAATTGCTGAAAAGTCACGGGCATCAAACTTCAGAGATACACACACACTTAGAATAAAACATCTCAAGTGGATTTTTCTTTCTTTTTCTCCTTTATTTGCATAGGCATAGAGGTATAGAGGGCATCTCCTCAGTAGAATACTGAGAAACTGGCATAAGAATTTACCAGCATTCCTGCTTCAGGCAAGTCAAAGGAAATAAGTAATGTGGGTTCTTATAATTGTGCCTCACAAAGTAGGAGGGCCTTAAAATCAGAATGCTGGTAGATACTGATGAAACAGTTCTATGTCCCATATAGTTAATTAAATAGTACTGGCAGTTGGTTAAATGAGAATGACAAGGATAAGAAATTGTTTTAAACGAATTTCGAGATTTTACATAGCATTCGAGAAGATGTGGTGTTATTTACTGACAGACAATCCAAAAGTAAGAATATCAGAGAATACAGCCCAGAAGGGGAAAGAAGGAAAAAAAATAAAACAAACAAACAAAAAATCACAGCTTACATTGAGTCCTGCTATGTGCCAAGCACTGAATTAGGCACTTTGTATGGATCCTTTTATTTAATCTTCACCAAAACTGGTAAGGTAGCTAATATTATCACTATTTTACAGATAAGAAAATTGAAATTCAGGAATCTAAGTAACAAATGTAAGATATTATGGTTATTAAGTATTAAGATTAAATTCAAACCCCAGTCTTTACTGTGTTAAAGCTTGTGATCTTTCTACCATATCCTTATTGAGTGCCAAGGATATTATCATAGTGAATCCTCATTATGTCCTATAATTTAGATATTATTATCCCCATTTTACAAATGAAGAAACTGAGGTTCAGAGATAGTCAATGATTTGCCAGTAGAACTAAATGGAGAGACTTCAGGCTTTGGAAGCAGATAAATCCAAGATTCAAATCTCAGTTTTATTATGTATCAAGTATGTGACTTGGGTTATTCGATTCTCTACTGTAATTTAGGAGCCTTATGAGGTTGCTCCAAGGATCCAAAAAGGCAAAACATGTTAAGTTCTCAATAAATGGGCCGGGCATGGTAGCTCACACCTGTAATCTCAGCACTTTGGGAGGCTAAGGTGGGTGGATCATTTGAGCCCAGGAGTTCAAGACCAGCCTGGAAAACATGGTGAAACCCTGTCTTAAAAAATACAAAAAAAAATTAGCTGTGCATGGTGGCATGTGCCTGTGGTTCCAGGAGGGACCTCGGCCTTGGGAGGCTGAGGTGGGAGGATCACTTGAGCCTGGAAAGTCAAGGCTACAGTGAGTTGTGTTCACACCTCTGCACTCCAGCCTAAGTTACAAAATGAGATTCCATCTCAAAAAAACAAACTTCTTAATAAACGGTAGCTATTATTTTTATCATCAGCCATCTCATATTTCTCATTTGAAATTAAACTAAAAATGTTTAATGGCATGGTAGAACATCTGCCATATATTAATAGTAAGTATTCAAAAAATGATAGCTATTATTCTTATGGTTAGGTATCAAGAATGGCCTTTGCACTGTCATCTACTAACCCAAAAATCCATGAAAGAAGCCCCTGTCCCATCTCGCCTGCAGGATTTCCTCAATAATAAAACTTTCTGAGTTCACTCAGGTGCAACCTGATCTCTCCTCCCCTTGACTCTGGCAACCACTGGTATTCCACCTCTCTCGACCTCCACCTCCCCGCAGGATCAGGGCAGAATAATATCCTTCTCCTTCTTCTAAGGG
Source organism: Homo sapiens (assembly GCF_000001405.40). NCBI lineage: Eukaryota > Metazoa > Chordata > Mammalia > Primates > Hominidae > Homo > Homo sapiens. The sequence goes on from NC_000001.11 coordinate 56,220,302, forward strand.
ATGTAAGGCAGCTTAAATAATTAACGATTGTAAGGTGCTTTGAAAAGAAAAAACAAAACACCATAAATCCCAAGAATTAATTCATAAAATCAGTGGTGGGCTCAACAATTATATATGTCATATTTGTTCAGCTGTGAGAATGGTATAGAACATCAAAGTTGGAAGTGTGGTCCAAATCTCTCAAGACCAAGGATTTCCTG